>NC_000006.12:160525335-160676850 GCF_000001405.40 Homo sapiens | reverse complement strand
ATGTAAAAGGATGCACTCGGCGTGAGATTCCAGTTGTGCACAGAATATACATGAGAAGTGCGCCTTTGTCATCCCTACTTTCAAAGGTGAAGGCCACCAGCAGTTTCTTATATGCAACTGATGCCTTTCAAATGAAACCTTATATCTGCGTAGTCCATAGGCAACCACAGGCAAATGTGAGGGTGAAACTCTATGTTCTACATTGCTCTGTGCCAGTGAAGCAAGGCAGTGCCAGCTCAGAGGGCTCTGGAGCTTCAAGGCAGGGATGCCTGGTTGTGGGTGCTGCAGCTGCTAGCAGAGCAGTCAAACATAACTGCTGATGCTTTTCTTTCAGTCCTGCCGTCATCACTGACAAAGTAATCCCAGCTTGTCTGCCATCCCCAAATTATGTGGTCGCCGACCAGACTGAATGTTACATCACTGACTGGGGAGAAACCCAAGGTGAGATAAATTCCATTGCCCACATAACGAATTGGTTTTGACCTACAGTCCATGTGACAAAATGATCATTTTGGAGAAAGCTGTGCAAATTCCTATCCATGAATGTGGTCCACCCACTCCTGATTTTGCCGGGGCAGCTGTGTATTTCTGCATAATGGGTCTTGAAGGCACATGGGCAAGGGGTGGAAGACTGTTTCTTTGAGTCTCTCTCTTTTTTTTTTTTTTTTTCAGAACCTTTTTCATTCTATTTTAATTAATTTTAACTTTTATTTTAGGTTCAGGGTTACATGTGCAGGTTTTTTGCATAAGTAAATTTGTGTCTCGTGGGTTAGTTGTACAGATTATTTTGTCACCTAGGTCCTAAGCCTAGTACCCAATACTTAGTATTTCCTGCTCCTCTCTCTCCTCCCGCTCTTCTCCTTCAGGTAGGCCCCAGTGTCTGTTGCTCCCATTTTTGTGTCCATGAGTTGTCATCATTTAGCTCCCACTTGTAAGTGTGAACATGTGGTATTTGGTTTTCTGTTCCTGTGTTAGTTTTCTAAGGATAATGGCCTCCAGCTCCATTCGTGTTCCTGTAAAAGGCATTATCTCATTCTTTTTTATGGCCACATAGTATTTCATGGTGTATATGTACCACATTTTCTTTATCCAATCTGTCATCGATAGGCATATAGGTGATTCCAAGTCTTTGCTCTTATGAATAGTGCTGCAATGAACATTCACATTCATCTGTCTTTATGATAGAGTAATTTATATTCCTCTGGGTATATACCCGGTAATAGGATTGCTGGGTTGAGTGTTAGGTCTGTTTTTAGCTCTTTGAGGAATCACTGGACTGCTTTCTACAATAGATGAACTAATTTACAGTCCCACCAACAGTGTGTAAGTGCTCCCTTTTCTCCACAACCTTTCCAGCATCTGTTATTTTTTGACTTTTTTAAAAATAATAGCCATTCTGGCTGAGATGAGATGGTTTCTCGTTGTGGTTTTGATTTACATTTCTCTAACTATCAGTGATATTGAGCATTTTTTCATATGCTTGTGGGCTGCCTGTATGTTTCCTTTAGAAAAGTGTTTGGTCATGTCTCTTGCATACTTTTTAATGGAGTTGTTTTGTTTCTTGTAAATTTGTTTAAGTTTCTTATAGATGCTGGATATTAGACCTTGATTTTTGTCAGCTTTGTCAAAGATCAGATGGTTGTAGGTTTGGCCTTATTTCTGGGCTCTCTATTCTGTCCCGTTGGTCTATGTGTCTGTTTGTTTGTTTGTTTGTTTTGTTTTGTTTTGTTTTCACCAGTACCATGTTGTTTTGGTTACTATGGCCCTGAAGTGTAGTTTGAAGACAGGTAATGTGATGCCTCCACCTTTGTTCTTTTTGTTTAGGATTACCATGGGTATTCTGGCTCCTTTTTGGTTCTATATAAATTTTAAAATAGTTTTTTAACAGTGCTGTGAAGAATGTCATTGGCAGTTTGATAGGAATAGCAATGAATCTGTAAATTACTTTGGGCCATATGGCCATTTTAATGATATTGATTCTTCCGATCCATGAGCATGGAATGTTTTTCCATTCACTTGTGTCATCCCTGATTTCTTTGAGCAGCATTTTGTAATTCTCAATGTAGAGATCTGTCACCGCCCTGGTTGGCTGTATTCTTAGGTATTTTATTTTTTGTGGCAATTGTGAATGGGATTGTGTTCCTGATTTGGCTCTCGGCTTGGCTCTTGGTGTATAGGGATGCTAGTGATTTTTGTATTTTGATTTTGTATTCTGAAACTTTGCTGAAGTTGATTAACAGAGAAGGAGCTTTTGGGCTGAGACTATGGGGTTTTCTAGATACAGAATCATGTCATCTGCAAACAGGGATAGTTTGATTTCCTCTCTTCCCGTATGGATGCTCTTTATTTCTTTCCCTTGCTTGACTGCTCTGGCCAGGACTTCCAATACTGTGTTGAATAGGACTGATGAGAGAGGGCATCCTTACCTTGTGCTGGTTTTCAAGGGGAATGCATCCAGCTTTTGCCCATTCAGTATGATGCTGGCTGTGGGTTTGTCATAGATGTCTCTTATTATTTTGAGATATATTCCTTCAATACCTAGTTTATTGAGAGTTTTCAACATGAACGGTGGTACATTTTTTCAAAAGCCTTTTCTGCATCTATCAAGATAATCATGTGGGTTTTGTCTTTAGTCACATTTATGTGATGAGTCACATTTTATTGATTTACATATGTTGAACCAATCTTACATCCCAGGGATGAAGACTATTTGATCATGATGGATTAGCTTTTTGATGTCCTGCTGGATTAGGTTTGCAAGTATTTTGTTGAGGATTTTTGTATCAGTGTTCATCAAGGATATCAGCCTGAAGTTTTTATTGTTGTTGTGTCTCTTTCAGGTTTTGGTATCAGGATGATGCTGGCCTCATAGAATAAAATGGGAAGCAGTCCCTCTTCCTCAATTTTTTTTGACGTTTCAGTAGGAATGGTACTAGCTCTTCTTTGCACATCTGGTAGAATTCAGCTGTGAATCTATCTGGTCCTGGCCTTTTGTTTCTTAGTAGGCTATTCATTACTGATTCAATTTTGGAGATCATTGTGGTTCTGTTCAAGGAATCAATTTCTTCCTGGTTCTGTCTTGGGAGGGTGTATGTGTCCAGTAATTTATCCATCTCTTCTAGATTTTCTAGTTTGTGTGCATAGAGCTGTCTGTAGTAGTTTCTGATGGTTATTTTTATTTTTGTGGGGTCAGTGCTAACATCCCCCTTGTCATTTGTAATTGTGTTACTTTGGGTCTTCTCTCTCTTTTCTTCTTTATTAGCCAGGTAGCAAACTATCTGTCTTATTAATGTTTTCAAAAAACCAACTCTTGGATTTGTTGATCTTTTGAATGTTTTTTCATGTCTTGACTTTCTTCATTTCAACTCTGATTTTGGTTTTCCTTGCCTGCTGCTAGTTTTGGAGTTGATTTGCTCTTGTTTCTCTAATTCTTCAAGTTGTGATGTTAGGTTCTTACTTTGGGATCTTTCTTTTTGATGTGAGCTTTTAATGCTATGAATTTCCCTCTTAACACTACCTTAGCTGTGTCCCAGAGATTCCAGTATGTTGTTTCTTAATTCTCTTTAGTTTCAAAGAACTTCTTGATTTCTGCCTTAGTTTTATTATTTACCCCCAAGTCATTCAGGAGCATGTTGTTTAATTCCCATGTAATTGCATGGTTTTGAGTAATTTTCTTAGTCTTGGCTTCTATTTTTATTGAGCTGTCGTCTGAGGGTGTTTTTGGTATAATTTTGGTTCTTTTGCATTTGCTGAGGATTGTTTTATGTCCAATTATGTGGTTGATTTTTAGAGAATGTGCCATGTGATTATGAGAATAATATATATTCTATTGTTTGGGGGTAGAGAGTTCTGTGGAGGTCTATCAGATCCATTTGATCCAATGTTGAGTTCAGGTCCTGAATATCTTTGTAAGTTTTCTGCCTCAATGATCTGTCTAATACTGTCAGTGAACTGCTGAAGTCTCCCACTATTATTGTGTGGGCATCTCAGTCTCTTTGTAGGTCTCTAAGAACTTTCTTTATGAAGCTGGGTGCTCTTGTGTTGGATGCATATATATTTAGGATAGTTGGTCTTGTTGAATTGAACCCTTTACCATTATGTAATGCCCTTCTTTGTCTTTTTTGGTCTTTGTTGGTTTAAAGTCTGTTTTGTCTGAAATTAGGATTGCCACCCCTGCTTTTTTCTGATTTCCATTTGCGTGGTAGATTCTCCTCCATCTCTTTATTTTGAGCCTTTGGGTGTCATTACATGTGAGATGGTTCTCTTGACAACAGCATACAATTGGGTCTTGCTTTTTTATCGAGCTTGCCACTCTGTGCCTCTTAAGTTGGGCATTTAGCCCATTTACATTCAAGGCAAGTATTGGTATGTGTGAATTTGATGCTCTGATTGTGTTTTTATGCTGGCTTGTTTGTGTGGTGGCTTTATAGTGTCACTGGTTTGTGAATTTAATTGTATTTTTGTATTGGCTAGTAGCCCTCTTTCCTTTCTATAGTTGGTGCTCTTTTCAAGATCTCTTGTAAGGCAGGTCTGGTGGTAACAAACTCCCTCAACATTTGCTTATCTAAAAGGGATCTTATTTCTCTGTTGCTTAGGAAGCTTAGTTTGGTTGGATATGAAATTTTTGGCTGAATATATATATATTTTAAAATGTTGAATATAGGCCCACAATCTCTTCTGGCTTGCAGAGGTTCAGCTGAGAGGTATGCTGTTAGGTTGATGGGGTTCCCTTTGTAGATGACCTGCCCTTTCTCTCTAGTTGCCTTTAACATTCTGTCTTTCATTTTGACCTTGGAAAAGCTGATGATTATGTGTCTTGGGATGATCTTCTTGTGTAGAATCTGGCAGGGATTCTCTGTATTTTCTGAATTTGACTGTTGGCCTCTCTAGCAAGATTGGGGAAGTTTTCATGGTTGGTATCCTAAATTGTTTTCCAGATTGTTAGCTTTCTCCCCATCCCTTTCAGAGATGCCAATGATTTGTAGATTTGGCCTTTTTTCCCCATATTTCTTGTAGGTTTTGTTCATTCATTTTCCTTCTTTTTTCTTCATTTTTGTCAACTGTCTGATTGCAGAGAGCTAGTCTTCCATTTCTGAGATCCTTTCCTCAGCTTGGTCTATTCTCCTATTAATACTTGGATTGCATTGTGAAATTCTTATAGTTTGTTTCTCAGCTCTCAGCTCTGTCAGATCCGTTAGGTTCTTTTTTTATACCAGCAATTTAATCTTTCAGCCTCTATATTATTTTATTGTGATTTTTAATTTCCTTGAATTGGATTTTGCCATTGTGCTAAATCTTGATGATCTTCATTTGTATCCGTAGTCTGAATTATATTTCTGTCATTTGAGTTAGCTCAGTCTTGTTAAGAACCCTTGTTGGAAAACTGGTGCAGTTGTTTGGAGGACATATGACCTTCTGGCCATTTGATTTATTGGAGTTCTTACGTTGGTTCTTTCTCATGTCTCTGTGTGGGTGTTTCTTTAACTGCAGTGTAGATTGAGTACAGCCAATAGACTTCTTCTTTGGAGGTTTTCACAGGGCCAAGGCCTTGTACAGGGTCTTTATTTGTAGCTGACTTCTTGTCTTTGGTTTCATAGTGGGGCATGTTAGCAAAATAGTTTTGCTGTTGAAGTTTTGGGGTGTGATCCATTTTTTATTTTAATGATTGTGTATTTCCTTTATACCTAAAACAAGCAGAAAACCAGTAAAGGTCTTTGAGTCTCTGAATTCATAACTCCAGCATTCATATTGCTTCCTCAGGTAAGTGGGGTTTTCACCCAGCCCTTAAGGGTGTTAGATTATTTTTTATGTGAAATTAGCCAGATTGTATTTCTAAACATGATGTAAAACAATAATGACAAAAGTTATAATAAACTAGCCTTCTTACCAAATCCACATGTCTAATGTGTGTGGGAGGGTGTTAGGCAGGGGACCTGCAGCTAAGGGAGAGGCAGACAGGCCCCATGGCCCCAAATCTAGGATAGTATTTGGTATTGGTTGATGGGTGAGAGAAAGAGAGGGAACATCTGTGCAGGATGTGGTATCAGCACCTGGACTACATCTTAGGGATTCCTTCTTCATTTTTCAGTATGCCCTGACAATAATTATATCTATCAGACTTACCCCCTTGACCACTGGAACACTAAGACTGTTTTGGGATCTCTGCCTGACTTTCTCAGAGGTGCTGGTGAGGACATTATGAGTCTGGAACCTAGAAAAGCGTTCTGACTCTGCTGACTTTCTCAGAGGTGCTGGTGAGGACATTATGAGTCTGGAGCCCTAGAAAAGCGTTCTGACTCTGCCACTAGCCAGACAGACCTGGACTAGGCACGTTAACTCTTTGTATGACTTGACTCCAACCCCTCATTTGTAAAACCAGCATTTTCAAGTGGTGTTTTCCACATCAGCCTTTTGCATAAGCTGTCATTTGAAGAAAGGTTTTTGTTTGTTTGTTTTTTGTTTAACAAAAAGGTTAAAAACCACTGGTCTAGATAATTGCAAAGTTTGCTTTCCTTTTTCTGTGCTTTTTCTACTATTTTTAAAATGTCATCCTCCTTGGTTTCTTGATCCCCCTTTCTGCACTCCTGAGTCTGGGAACACTGAGGCCAACTAAAAGGAAACTTGGCAAAAGAGGAACACCTTTGGGTGTGCCAGGCTGCTCCCAGTGTTTTGCACTTATAAAAATTTAAATGCTGCAAACCTCTAAGACTTAGATATTATTGTTCCTATTTTACAAGTGAGGAACCTGAGGCTCAGAGAAGGTGCAGGATGGCACAGGGAGACCTGAATTGGAACCCTGGTTCCCACTTACTGGCTGTCGGGACTTAGAAAAGTCATGAACTCTCATTGATTGTTTTCTTATATGAAATGGGGGCTGCAGGGTTGTCGGGGGAGAAACAATAAGAATGTGCATCAAGTGTCGAGCACGTGCTACGCACTCCATCATGGCAGCTCCTACTAATATACAGAATAGAGTTGTATCTAACATGACTCTTTCTTGCAAGTGACAGAAAATCCAACTTAAGATGGATTAAGCAAAAAAGGGGAATTCTTGTTGAGCTGAAAAGTCTTTAGGCTCACATGATGGCCCCAGGGCCCAGGCCCTGTCCAGCCATGCAGTAGGCATCATCCTTGGGCACAAAGGTGAGATTCTTGTGGTGGCAGATGCTGTGGCAGCTCTTGCTTTGCCAGGAAAGACTGAGGAAGGCCACTGTCCCCATTAAGTGAACAATAGTTGGCCAGGTCTGAGAGGTTGAACTTGGGTCACAGGCCTGTCCCTGAACCCATCACTGATTGGCTCCAACCTGCATCAGCTATTACATGCTAGAGGTGGAGGCAGGACCCCACTCATACCCAGAAGGGCAAAGGGTGGATCCCTCAACAGGATTATGGGATGTAGGGTGATAGACTGCTGGGCAGCCAGAAAGCAAACAGATCCTCTCCAATACCTCAACTGATGAAAGCACCAAGCTAAAATCATAAGGATCTGGGTGTGAATTCTGGCTCTACCATCTTCCATGTGACATTGGGCAGTTATTTAATCTCTTTTAGCCTTGGCTTTCTTACCTGTACTAACATATAAGGTGATTGTGATGAGCATCATCATCGTCAACATCATCATCACCATCCACATTGCCACCACCACTCCCATTATCATCTTCATCAACATCATCACCACCGCCACCATCACCATTATCATTACCACCACCGCTATCACTATTATCATCACCCTCAACATCATCACCATCATCACTATCATCACCACCACCATCATCGTTACTACCACTACCACCACCATCATCACCACAGCCACCACCACCATCACCATCATTACTACTCAGCACCACCATCATCATTCCACCACCATCACCATCATTCCACCATCACCATTATCATTACCACCACCACTGTCACTATTATCATCACCCTCAACATCATCACCACCACCATCATCATTACTACCACCACCACCACCATCACCATCATCATCATTCTACCACCATCACCATTATCATCACCATCACCATCACCACCGCTATCATCATGATAATCATTATCATTACCACCACCATTAGCATTATCATTACCACCACCATCACTATCACTATCACCATCACCACGACCACTACCACCATCACCAACACCATCATTACTACCCACCACCACCATCATCATCATTCCACCACCATCACAATTATTACCACCACCACCATCACCACCACCACCACCATCACTATCATCATCAGTAGACATCATATAACCAGTTTGTAGCTGGCCCAGAGCCTACTTGCTGTTTCTTCTGCCCCACAACCATCCACACATTTCTAACCACCATCCCCCACTAGGCTTCTGCCTCGCCTGGTCTCACCTGCAGGTCCACTGAGAAAATGATTCTCAGAACACTAACTAGACCATGAGGTGCCACAAAACATAACTCAGGCCTGTTCATCAATTTTCTACATGTCAATAATGACATCAGGTCAATTGGCGTTCTCAGCCTCTGAGAGGGAGGTCAAAGTTTTCCTGCTCTCCCCTTCATGTTTCCAGGTGTTCCCTGACTTGGATCAAATGCAGAGTTTGGAGGTGTTGAGGCCAAGGGGATTTTCCAGGTCAGTCGTCATCCACAATCAATGGACTGATCCTGCCGCTGGACTTACCCTGCTGCCCTCTCCCCAAGGCCCCATCAGGGAGGGCTTCAATCCTCTTGTCACCTGTGGCCTACCTGCCCTCAGAGATGACATCTCTATGTCGGCCACTGGATGGCAGCACCTACTCGCAGACCACATCAACTTTCCTGGCAACTTGCGGTAGGTTTTCACCATTATCAGGATGTTTGCCTTGCTCAAATAGCAGATTCTAGAGAACGGTGCTCCCTCACACAACTATGTAGTCCAGGTGATGCACCCTCTGCCCGATGCTTGGTAGTCAGAAACTTCCATCATGCAGCTCTGCCCAGATTGAGCTGAGCTGGCCTCTGGAGTGAGGTGCTGGGACAAACATCTTCCATGCTGCTCATGTCAACTCCAGATGCAGTCAGGTTTCTGAACCAAAGTCAATGATCTAAGTGCAGTCAAAGGCTCTGGGGGAAGAAAGAGAGAGTGCCTCATCTCTTGCCTGTGCCATGCTCGCAAAGCAAGGATTTTTGCAAAATTCTAATGAAAGCTGGGCTTGCAAAATTAGAAAACTGGATTATTTGTGAGAACACTGAAACATCCCTGGGTGTGTCCATCTGGAAAAACAGCATTTCCTCTGGCAATTTTGCAACCGTTCTATTTGAATTTGGCAAAGAAAATAAAGCAGTTTTTCACAAAAGAATAAACACAACCAGGAGAATCTTCACTCTCCCAAATTGTCAAAGAAGTATAAATTAGAAAATGAATCAGGACAATTTCAACCTGTTAGATTAGCTAATATTTAAAAATTGAACACTCATACAAGTGTGGTGAAGTGATTGTTTTCTAGTGACATTTTACACTGTCATAACCTTCTAGAAAATAAATTGGCAGTGTTATTGGGAGACAGAAATATGTCTATATAATTTATGGGAACTTAGGCTCAGAAAATATTAAGGAATAAGAATGAACTTTATGAACAAAGATGTGGAGGGTTGGAAGCAAGAGGGGGGCCAACGCGCACGGGGAGGAAGCATTTGGGCAGTGACTCCGCAGACCCAGGCTCAGGTTGAACTAGACAACCTCCTTACACCTCAGTTTCCTTAACTGTAGAGCAGGAGTGATGGAACTGCCTGTTTCATAGGACTGTTGTGAGGATGAAGTGAGATACACCACATTATAAGCTTGTGCCTGGAAAGGATAATGCTTAGTAAATGATGACTATTCTTTTTTATTGCAATAAAATGTACACAGCGTAAGAGTTACTATTTTAACCATTTTTGCAGGGTACCACCAAGTGGCATTTAGTACATTCACAGTGGTGTGCAACCATCATCATATTTCCAGAATATTTTCCTCATCCCCAAAGGAAACCTCATGCTCATTAATCAGTAGCTCTCCTTTAAAATATTAGTTATGAAGATCATAGCACTATACAAAACTCATTATGTAATGTTGAGTGAAAAAATCAGGGTGTGAAATTTTGTGATATGATGTAATTAGTGAAAGAAGCATACAAAAAGTCTGAAAATATAAAAACAATAGCAATTGCATTTCTCAGACTCTACATTTAAACATTATTCTTTATGGTTTTAAAAGCAAAGAAAAAGGTAAAGAAACAACAACCAACCGCAAAGCACCATGACAAAGCTCAGATTGTTAAATCCAGGTTTTTGGAACATAGACTCTTATATGACGTTTACACTCTCCAGGGTTCAGAGAGTCTGGCAGCATTGGGAGCTGCCTTGTGTTCTACAGCCTCACGGACAGACAGGAGGTCCATCACCACTGCTCTGTTCTTCTGGAGTTTCCTTGTGAACATGTTGTGGACGTAGTTACCATTTCTTTCATCTTTTTAAACACAGGTACCTTTGGGGCTGGCTTTCTCAAGGAAGCCCAGCTCCCTGTGATTGAGAATGAAGTGTGCAATCGCTATGAGTTTCTGAATGGAAGAGTCAAATCCACTGAGCTCTGTGCTGGGCATTTGGCTGGAGGCATTGACAGTTGCAAGGTAAGAAAAGATCAAGAGACCAAAGTTAGTCTTGTGCTCTCCTGTCTCAGTCTCAGTCCCTTAGACTTGAGTCCCAAAGTAGCGAATTCAAGTAGGATTTAATCAATGGAAGACCCCAGTCTAAGTGTTGCTCAGAAACTCCCTAGATCTGTCCCAAATGTATATTCAGATCATCCAAGGGGACTTCTTGGGGCTTGAGTTCCAGATCAGCAGCAAGGGAGCCATAAGTGCCATAACTACCTCAGACCACTCACCCTCCTGGGGTGTCCCGGTGGCCAGGGACTAAAGTGGTGATTTTTCTGGTAGGGAAGGAGGTAGAGGGTACAGGACAGAGACTAACTGCACACAATATCTGAGACTGGAGCTCAGATATTGCTGATGATCAGAGTTGGCGTGTCTCCCCAATTGATTTACAACTGGGGCTTGGATACTGTTTTAAACGGGAGGAGCCTCCTAACCATCTTGACACAACCACTGACGTGACTACACTAGAGATAGACTCTTTCCACTTAATTCTACCACTCTTGCTTTACTTCATGAGAACGAAAATGTAAGATTGCACCATGAATTCATTTGCGGAAAGATTGATACTATGCTTTTATTTTATTTTATTTTATTTTATTTTATTTTATTTTATTTTATTGAGACTCTCACCCCGGTTGAAGTGCACTGACGTGATTTTGGCTCACTGCAACTTCCACCTCCTGGGTTCAAGTGAATACTCCAGCCTCCCTAGTAGCTGGGATTACAGGTGCCCACCACCACGCCTGGCTAATTTTTGTATTTTTAGTAGAGATGGGGTTTCACCACATTGGCCTGGCTGGTCTCAAACTCCTGACCTTGTGATCCACCTGTCTTGGCCTCCCAAAGTGCTGGGATTACAGAGTTGAGCCACCGCACTCGACCCTATGTTTTATTTTTAAAAATATTTATTTATTTATTTAAGCCACAACTACTAGAATAGGAAGGATTGATATTTTATTAATTTTATTTGGTATTTATTATTTTTTTTTCTTTCCTGAGACATTCTTGCTCTGTCACCCAGGCTGGAGTGCAGTGGCACATTCTTGGCTCACTGCAACCTCCATCTCCTGTGTTCAAGCAATTCTAGTGCCTCAGCCTACTTAGTAGCTGGGATGACTGGCATGTGCCTCCACACCCAGCTAATTTTTGTATTTTTTGTAGAGACAGGGTTTTGGCATGTTGCCCAGGCTTGTCTCAAACTCCTGGCCTCAGGTGATCCATCTGCCGTGGCCTCCCAAAATGCTGGGATTATAGGCATGAGCCACCACCCCCTCCTGGAAGGATTGATATCTTATAACATAATTTATAATTACAGAAAACATGTGAGTTCACTAGGAATAAATAAATTTTGAAGATAATAAAAGATTTTCACTTATGTTGTCATTTCGGCACAGTTTGGTATAGGATGTGGAGATGTTAACATTTATACCTAGCTTGCTCGTAAACTAAGACCTGAAAGGGTTGTGTCTATCAGCTGCACCCCTGGGTAGCGACACAACCTCGGGAAGGCCTCAGCCCCCTCCTCGTACAGCACTGCCTGTTGGAAAGCTTGAGGGAGGCTATGGATGTGCAGCACTTGGCAGAGGGTCTGGTCATGGAAGTTACCAGCAAATATGAGCTACTTTTATGATTTTATTTTATCCAAAAGAAAGAGAATGAAAGAAGAGGGGAGGAAACAAGACTAATCAGGAAAGATGAAGGTCTAGGGGTGAGGGAAGGAGTAAGGAGACATAAAGGCAATGTGGAGCAGCTGAGGGGGGAAATGGCTTTCACCACTTCCCAGCATCTATTGACATTGCACTCTCAAATATTTTATAAGACTCTATATTCAAGGTAATGTTTGAACCCTGCTGAGCCAGTGGCATGGGTCTCTGAGAGAATCATTAACTTAATTTGACTATCTGGTTTGTGGGTGCGTTTACTCTCATGTAAGTCAACAATGTCCTGGGATTGGGACACACTTTCTGGGCACTGCTGGCCAGTCCCAAAATGGAACATAAGGAAGTGGTTCTTCTACTTCTTTTATTTCTGAAATCAGGTAAGACATAGTTTTTTTAAATTATAAGAATTATTTTTTCTCCCACAATGTAGTAAAAATACATATGCCATGGCTTTATGTGCAATTCATTTAATTTTTGATTCATGAAATTCCCAGTTCAAAATCTTGTATATGATTGAAAAATTCTTAAAAAAATAAGTTTAATTTCCCCGTGAAGACTGTCACGGTGCTGGAATGAATGGGCAGAAAAAATAATGGTTGATTTTTCTAATCTAAAAGAGTGTGCCTACATGATGGCCAGTCTGGCTGAAAAATAAATAGCCATTGTAGCTAACTATGCAAAGGATGGCTAAGCTCTTCGCTTGGTTCTCAGTTTCATTAATTTATATCATCTCTGTTCAGGTGCCATGCTCCCCTCACTAGCAAGTTGAAACAATGAAATAACTCTTTGAATATGTTTGGTTCCTTGACCTGTTCATGGAGTGGGACTCAGCATTTCTCTCTTTGTTATGGCCTGAGTAAGGCTTTCCATCGGTATACATTTGCTTCTTATCCCTGGAGAAATTATACACATCCATTTGCCAGATGATATACGCATATAATGATTCAACAAATACTCAGGGTATTTGTTGAGTGGGTTAGGTCCCCACATTTTTATACATACATACACACATACACACCGTGTGTGATTGTGAATGTAAGTGTGTGTCCTTTACAAATACTAGCTTATTTAGCTCATGGTATAGGTAGGGTAGCATAGTCATCCCCATTTTATAAACAAAGAAATCTAGACTTAGGAAAATCATGTTATTTGTCTCGTGACCAAATTCCCAAATCAAGGAAATAAAGAAACCTGGATTTAAGCCAGATTTCCAAGAAAAAATCTAGGGCTCTTCTCACTTTTTCATCTTTGTTCCAACATTTGAAAAAATAAATCTAAACACATTCCAATGTAACTGAAGAGCAGGTTAATTGTTTGCCACTTGCAGAATCCAATTAAGAAGAGAGAAGTCTGGTATAAAGAAAGTGATTTGCTTCCAAAGCTAGCTTAGGGGAAGAAATGCAGCAGTCCTGCCGTACTACTTCACTTTAGGAGCAGAAAGTGGCACTTTTAAAAGGCAACAGAGGAGGCGAGCAAGGATTCAGGGGTCCATGCTAGCTTGGGCACCTTATCCACCAGGTAGTTGAGCAGTTGCCTGCTGGTGCCTTTGTGAGCAGGGTGTTGTCCCTTGAGGCAAATCTCTGGAGGGTGAGAGTTTTGTAGTGGGCATGCTTTGGTTTATAAATCACCTGTGAACTCAGGAGTTCCATCTTGAAGCACATACATAGTTAGATGAACTTGCCCTGCAGGGAGAGTCTGATGAAAGGGAGGTAGATGCTTGCAATTTAATCTATAAATTACCAGATAAAATTTTACAAGTTGACTTTAAAGTCAAACACATTTGAATTTAGTGGAAGCCATTCAAGAAAATATCAAAGAAAATACAGAGCAGGAGAAGATTAAGCAAAGAGTTTTTTGGGGAAATTGGTGTCTATGTCTGTGTGTGTAGGGAGTGCAGGGGATATGAATATTCTATTTCAGCCCATGGAAACTAGGATGTAGATCACTGTGAACTTATTCAGCAGGCTACACCCAAAGGCTAGAACAAACTTCTCTGCCACAGGATTAACATATGTTTTAATCGACCTGGGGGGCACATTCTCTGATAAGCTCTTTTGGAAAGCCAGGCTTTCTGTGGACGTGTTATCTTTCCAATGTGTGCTGGAATGCCCGGGGAGAGGAAAAAGTTTCTTTTACAGCCATGCTCAGTGAGAAGCGGAGAAACATCTTCTATTCACAAATTGCTAAGTCTTTTACACATGCAAATATGCATACACATTCACACACCACAGTGAGGAAGAAATTCTCACACCATTAATAAAATACATTTACTTCAGTAGCAATATACATCTACATTTTGCCTATAATATAAAAGTATTTTTCCTATTAAAAGATTTGTTTAATGTTTCTTCACCAACAAATAAACCCTATTAAATCCCCATTGCCATATGAGCCCTGGAGGTGAATCAGAGAAACAAAAGGATTGTGGAAAAATCATCAGGTTAAAAAAAGAAAAATTGATTCTGTTTTGGGATATTTCCTAGCAACATGAGCTGGGGAGGGGATCTCAGCAGTGATGCTCTATGAAGCATAATAAAATGACACAGTTACAGGTAACTTAGTTAAAGGGGGAAATAAATGGAAGTTTCCTCTTTTTGAATATCAATTGTAGCCTGCTCTGCTACATTTCAAAAACACTCTTCAAAATGTTTAACTGAACTCACTGTAGGAAGCACCTTATTAATTTATTGTGTGTTTTGAAGTCACACTGTGAGCTATAGAATTTACCCAAGCACAACTCTTCCTGGAAAAGAGAGTTCAAATGAGAAACAGTGCGGGGTGAAGACATGGATATGGGCCTAAAATATCTATTTCTCAATGATATTTTGATATATCTATCAAGTGCTTTTTAGTGGATTAGGTTCAGAATGCATCAGCCAATGCCTGTTCAATAATCCAGTTTTCCAGCATAGAGCATATTAAATTGAGGAAGGACAAAGTCACAGAGGTGGGGAGCAGGTGGACTGTGGCCAAGGACTTTGCATGAAACAGTGAGCGTGCATCCTCCTCCTTGCCCTGCCCTCATGGTCTGTGTACTCTCAGGAGGTCAGGACAGGCCTTTCTGAGAATGAGAATCTGTTCATCTGCCTTTCTACTGGATACTTGTCATCGGCATACAAACACATGTTCTCTGCAGTGTGTCATCTTTCAGAACCTCCCCTGACCCTGTATTCCCTAGAAGTCTCGCTGCTTTCAGAGCCAGGCTTCTCTCCTGCTGCCACCCCCACTGCTCTTCTAGTCACTCTTTAACCCACTCCATCTGCATGTGGCCCCCACCACACCCCTCAAAGTGGTCAAGGTTGTCCTGTTGCTTAATTCCATGGAAGCTTGGCTATCTTCATTTTATTAGCCTCTTTTGGCCTCTCACCCTGTGAAAATCACTACATTTTGTGCCAGAGATGGAGCTGGCATCTCCAGGCTTGGAAGAGGGCTGCTGAAGCTCAGCCAGGTGTCCTAAGGAGCCTCAGGACAGGGGATGCTCAGTAGCCTTGCAATGGGAACACAGCTGAGCCCCACTTGGCCACCCTTTGCCACAACCAGGCAGAAAGCAGCTTTTGAACAGATTTGTTGCCTCAGATTTGATCTCAAAGAAAAATCGTGGGCAGTATTGGTCCCAGGTTCTGCTTTTTTACAATTTCCTCTGAAATCTGGATGCCTATCAACACCTTGGAAAAACTGAATTCTCCCCAACTAATAGTGGTGTGTCACTGTAGTAAGCCTAGTACAAAAATGGCCTTCTTTGTGGAGGAGCTTCATATCCTCCATTTTTTTTTTGCTTAATTTTTGCCCAAGATGAGAACATAATTTAGTTCACTTTTTATTTATTCCCAACATCATCCATGCACCAACATTTTTGTAACTAAAGGAGGGACCATTCAGAAGATGCTTATCAACTGTCAAAGTGACAGTGTTACAACCAATGCACATATTGTAAGAAATCAAACAATGGCCTCCAAGGTTCATTTCTACACAGGGATTAGCAGATCAACATCAATCTTGGCAACACAGTTGCCACTGATGGTGTCTTATTTTTTTTATCATGACATGGCAATCAAGAGCAAACATGATTTATTCTTATTTAAGATTTTATGGTTAGACTAGGCAGATAGCTAGATATGAGCAGGAGGTGGAAGCCCCTGAGAGAATGGAGGTCTGGAGAATCTGAAACCCCAGAGATTACCCAAGTCCTGCATGCTAGACATGAGTGGAGGAGGGGGAATACCTAGGTAGAAAAGAATGCCCCTTAAGATGCCCAGCAGTCGCTCACTGTGCAGTTAACTTTTCAGAATGCTGCTAGATACATGCTGATAGGGAGGGAAGAGGGCAAAGGAGAAATTCCTAAGAGATACACGGTTGCAGTTAGTATACATCTGAGTGCTATACAACCTTCTTTGGGTGGTGGCAAGAAGCAATGCAGCCATTACGTAGAATTCATATCAAACACCTGTATCACAGGTGTTAAAGAAACAAGAAACATTGTACTTCTTGTATTCTTAATAATGATTTGCAATATTGTCTTTAGTATCACTGCAAACCTCTATAAATATGATTTTTAAAAAGTATTTCTTTAGGTTGGAATTACTTCTACGCATTGACTTATCTTCCTGGGTTTCATTAGCCGTACCCGTTGTACTTTCTTCCTTACCACTGTTTATCTCAAACTCTTGAGATTAAAGTATGGGCTCAGGAGGGAGCGAGGAGCTTCAGGACTCTCACGGACCTCCAGCACAGTGTAGCTGCCTTATGGAAAAGTGGCCACACTGTTTTCTGCACTGGTCCCTGCCCCTACTATTCCTCACTGGGCAGAGCACAGCCACCCTGGCCCTGCCTGAACATTTTAGTCAGTGTTGGCTCTGTGCTTCTCTGGGGAGGAAATCCAAGAGACAACCCACAGCCCCTCTGCCATTTCAGCTGCAGCAGTACCACCGTTAATGCCCTTGGGCTTGAGAAAGAAGGGACCTGGCCACTTCCCTGACACCTCCAGCACACAGCAGGGAAAGAATTCCAGTTTCTCTTTCTTGTGAGCTTTCACCTGCTACTCTTCACCAGGCAAGGCTCCTGGCTTGGGCCCACAGTGCAGGCACCTCGAACTCAGTTGAACATTTCCACTGGCTGCACTCTGTGTTTTTGTGGGGTGAAGCTCCCAGAGGTGACTGAAAGTCCTTCTGCCACTAACACTGCAGTCATACTGCCCTTGCTGTACTTGGACTAGGGAAGGAAAAAAGATCCTGAGTGCTTTACTCACACCCCAGTGTGCCCCAGCCACCCTATGGAAAAGAGGCCAGTGTGTCATCCCTGCAAGCACCCTGAGGCCCCTGCCCCTGCTGCCCCCAAGCTGTAGAGCCAGAATATAAAGCTGGCAGAAAAATGTAAAAAGGCTAGACTGGCTTAGCCTCCCAGCCTACATCTTTCTCCTGTGCTGGATCCTTCCTGCTCTTGAACATCGGACTCCAAGTTCTTCAGCTGTGGGACTTGGACTGTCTTCCTTGCTCCTCAGATTGCAGGTGGCCTATTATGGGACCTTGTAATCTTGTGAGTTAATACCACTTAATAAGCTCCCCTTTGTGTGAGTATATCTATATCTATAGATAGATATAGGTATACTCACTATATATACACATATATACATATACTCTCTCTCTCTCTCTCTCATATATATATATATATAATCTCCTATTAGTTCTGTCCCTCTAGAGAACCCCGACTAATACAGATTTTCATACCAGAAGTGGTTCTTGAGGAACAGAATATTAAGGATGGAATTCTTTCATTGGTTTTGGGACTTCTGGTGTTGGCTGATTAATATGATTAGACCAAAAAATGCTAAGGACTCTACTTCTAATAGTATGGAGAACACTGATAGTACTTGGCCTGAATTGTTTAGAGAGTTATGCAAAATAAATGCATTTGACACTACTGATTCATCACTTATGAGAGGCAAGGAGTTTAGTGACTCTATACATAATACCTTTGACTATATGTGGAGAACCAAGGAACATAATGAAGTTGGTTGATTGCTCCTAAGTTCTCTGGAGAAAGAGATGAAAGAAAATGATGATCTCAGGGGATCTGTCTCCCACCTTCAGAAGCAGATACTGAGCCACAAATCTGCTAAGATTGCCCTGAATGAGAGTTTTAACTCCTGTAGAGAAAGAGTTGAAATTGTGAAAAAACAGAGACAAGCTGTTATCATGCGAGTAGCTGATCTGCAACAAGAGGTGCATGCACAGCCTTGCCAGGTGTTTACTGTTAAAGTGAGGGCATTGACTGGAAAAAAATGGGACCCTGGAACTTGGAGTGGGGATGTGTGGGAGAACCCTGATGAAGCTGAGGACACTGAGTTTGTGAACTCTGATGAAACTTTTTTGCCAGAAGAAACAGTTTCCCCATCCCCAGTAGTGGTAACATCCCCTCCCTGACCCGTGCTGCCATTAGCCTTTCCACCTTTGTCTGAGGATGTAAACCCTGCACTGCTTGAGGCAACAGTGATGGCCTTCCCTGAGGCAGCTGCCAGGCAAGATAATGTTGATTCTCCTCAAGAGGCACCCCTAATGCCCCTGAATGCTTCTAGACCTATAACTAGGCTAAATTCCTTGCGGGCCCCAGAGGTGAGGTTCAGAGTGTGACCCATGAGGAGGTGCATTATACTCTAAAAGAACTGCTTAAGCTTTCTAATTTATATTGGCAGAAATCTGGAGAACAGGCATGGGAATGGATATTAAGGGTAAGGGATAATGGTGGAAGGGACATAGAGTTGGATCAAGCTGAATTTATTGGTTTGGCCCTACTAAGTAGGGATTCTGCATTTAATGTTGCAGCTCGGGGACTTAGAAAAGGTTCTGATAGGGCCGGGAGCAGTGGCTCACGCCTGTAATCCCAGCACCTTGGGAGGCGGGGGCGGGCAGATCACGAGATCAGGAGATTGAGACAATTCTGGCTAAAATGGTGAAACCCCATCTCTGCTAAAAATACAAAAATTAGCTGGGCATGGTGATGCGTAACTGTAATCTCATCTACTTGGGAGGCTGAGGCAAGAGAACTGCTTGAACCTGTGAGGCAGAGATTGCAGTGAGCCAAGATCGCCCCACTGCATTCCAGCCTGGTAACAGAGCAAGACTCCATTTCCAAAAAAAAAAAAAAAAAAGTTATAATAGTTTATTTGCTTGGTTAGCTGAAATATGGATTAAAAGATGGTCCAATGTTAGTGAGCTGGAAATGCCTTGGTTTAATGTAGAGGAAGTGATCCAAAGGCTTAGGGAGATTAGGATGGTGGAGTGGATTAGTCACTTTAGACCTACTCATCCCAGCTGGGAGGGTCCAGAAGATACACCCTTGGCCGAAGCTTTGTGAAATAGATTTGTGAGAGCAGCACCTGTATTTTTGAAGAGCCCGTAATTGCTCTTCTCTGTATGTCAGATCTAACAGTAGGAACCACAGTCACTCAACTACAAAATTTAAATACAATGGGAATAATTGGATCCTGAGGTGGCAGGGGCCAAGTGTTGGCACTGAACCATCAAAGGCAAGGTGGGCATAACTACCATAATAGACAGCAGAGGCAAAGCAGCCATCAGAATAGTCTGACTCATGTAGAGCTCTGGCATTGGCTAATTAATCATGGTGTTCCTAGAAGTGAAATTGATGGGAAACCTACTGTATTCCTACTTGATTTATATAAACAAAAAACTGCCAGGTAGAATGGACTAAAGACTAATCTGAATTATAAAAACAGAGAATCATGGGCCCTCAATCAATTTCCAGACTCGAACCTGTTACAGTTCCAGAACCCACTGAATGAAGGGGAGGCTGGATCCCCTTGAGGAAGGACACCACTAGGCTACTGACAACTTATGCTGTTACTCTTTCTCCCATCCTTCCCTAAGGAGACCTCTGGCCTTTTACCAGGGTAACTGTGTGTACTGGAGAAAGGGAAGTAATGAGACATTTCAGAAAGTACTGGACACTGGCTCTGAGCTGACGTTGATTCCAGGGTACCCAAAACGTTATTGTGGTTCCCCAGTTAAAGTAGGGGCTTATGGAGGTTAGGTAATTAATGGAGTTTTAGCTCATTTCTGACTTACAGTGGTTCCAGTGGGTCCCTGGACTTATCCTCTGGTCATTTTCCCAGTGCCAAAATGCATAATTTGTATAGACATACTTATTAGCTGGCAGAAATGCCACATTGGCTCCCTGACTGGTAGGATGAGGGCTATTATGGTGGGAAAGGCCAAACAGAAGCCATTAGAGCTGTCTCTACCTAGAAAAATAAAAAAATCAAAAACAATATCCCATCCCTGGAGGGACTGAAGTGATTAGTGTCACCATCAAGGACTTGAAAGACGCAGGGGTGGTGATTCCCACCACATCCCTGTTCAACTCTCCCATTTGACCTGTGCAGAGGACAGATGGATCTTGGAAAATGATGGTGGATTATTTTAAGCTTAACCAAGTGGTGACTCCAATTGCAGCTGCTCTACCAGTTGTGGTTTTGTTGCTTGAGCAAATTAACACATCTCCTGGTGCCTGGTATGCAGCCATTGGCTTGGCAAGTGGCTTTTTCTCCATTCCTGTCCATAAGACCCACCAGAAGCAATTTGCCTTCAGCTGACAAGGCCAGCATTATACCTTTACCACCCTACCTCAGGGGTGTATCAACTCTCCAGCTTTGTGTCATAATCTTATTTGGAGAGACCTTGCTCGCTTTTCACTTCCACGAGATATAACACTGGTCCATTACATTCATGACATTATGATGATTGGATACAGTGAGCAAGAAGTAGCAAACACACTGAACTTATTGGTGAGACATTTGTATGCCAGAGGATGGGAAATAAATCCAGCTAAAATTTAGGGACTTTCTACCTCGGTAAAATTTCTAGGGTTCCAGTGGCATGAGACCTATGGAGATATTCCTTCTAAGGTGAAGCATAACTTGCTGCGTTTGGCCCCTCTTACAACCAAGAAAGAGGCACAATGCCTGGTGGGCCTATTTGGATTTTGGAGGCAACACATTCCTCGTTTGGGTGTGTTACTCTGGCCCATTTATCGAGTGACCTGAAAGGCTGCCAGATTTAAGTGCAGTCTAGAACAAAAGAAGGCTCTGAAACAGGTCCAGGCTGCTGTGAAAGCTGCTCTGCCATTTGGGCCACATGACCCCGCAGATCCAATGGTGCTTGAGGTGTCAGTGGCAGATAGGGATGCTGTTTGGAGCCTTTGGCAGGCCCCCATAGGTGAATCACAGTGGAGACCTCTAGGATTTTGGAGCAAGGCCCTGCCACTTCTGCAGATAACTACTCTCCTTTTGAGAGACAGCTATTGGTCTGTTATTGGGCTTTGGTGGTAACTGAACGTTTGACTGTGGGTCATAAAGTCACCATGCTACCTGAACCTGCCTATCATGAACTGGTTGCTTTCTGACCCATCTAGCCATGAAGTGGGTCAGCACAGCGGCATTTCATCATCAAATTGAAGTGGTGTGTATGTGATCGGGCTTGAGCAGGTCCTGAAGGCACAAGTAAGTTACATAAGGAAGTGGCTCAAATGCCCATGTTCTCCACTCATGCCACCCTGCCTTCCCTCCCCCAGCCTGCACCAATGGCCTCATGGGGAGTTCCCTATGATCAGTTGACAGAGGAAGGGAAGACTAAGGACTGGTTCATAGATGGTTCTGCACGATATGCAGGCACCACCCGAAAGTGGACAGCTGCAGCACTATATCCACTTTCTAAATGCATGTGTACACTTGTGCTAAGAAAATATCTTTATTTTATTTCCTTTATTTTTCCTTTATCATGTGACCTTAGATTTATGGACTTCACATCAGCATTTAAGCATTTAAGTGTTGTTCATATCAGCATTTAAATATTGTTAACCTTATGTAATAACTTTTGGTTTGGGGATTGGTGCGTTTCTGGTTGTATGAGGATAGTTGTATTATATTAGGCATAATTATGACCTTATTATTGTCTTTATTTGAAGATTATGTATGATTTCAGGATGTGTGTATGGGTTCAAGTTGACAAGGAGTTGGACTTGTGATGGTTAATACTGTCAACTTGATTGGATTGAAAGATGCAAAGTATTAATCTCGGTTATGTCTGTGAGGGTGTGGCAAAAGGAGATTAACATTTGAGTCAGTGGGCTGGGAAGGCAGACCCACCCTTAATCTGGGTACACACCATCTAATCAAGTTCCAGTGTGGCCAGATTGTAAAGCAGGGAGAAAAATGTGAAAAGACTAGACTGAATTAGCTTCCCAGCCTACATCTTTCTCCTGTGCCAAATGCTTCCTGCTCTTGAACATCGGACTCCAAGTTCTTCAGCGTTGGGAGTTGGACTGGCTTTCTTGCTCCTCAGCTTGCAGAGGGCCTGTTGTGGAACCTTGTGATCCGCTGAGTTAATACTACTTAATAAGATCCCCTTTATATACATATAATATATTATATTATATATAATATATATAATATATATTATATATAATATATATAATATATTATATATTATATATAATATATATTATATATTATATATAATATATATTATATATAATATATATTATATATTATATATTATATATAATATATATTATATATAATATATATAAAATATATATATATCCTATTAGTTCTGTCCCTCTAGAGAACCCTGACTAATACAATTTATGTCATTAATCTCATTTATTGATTTGTATACATTGAACCAACCTTATATCCCAGGAATAAAACCTACTTGATTGTGGTGGATTAGCTTTTTGATGTACTCTTGGATTCAATTGCTGGTATTTTATTGAGAATTTTTGCATCTGTGTTCATCAAGGATATTGGCTTGAAGTTTTCTTTTTTTGTTGTTCCATATCAGAATGATGACGACCTCATAGAATGAGTTAGTCTGTCCTCTTTTATCTTTTGGAATTGTTTCAGGAGGCTTGATATCAGCTCTTCTTTATATGACTGGTATACTTTGGCTAGGAATCTCTCTGGTCCAGGGGTTTTTCTGGTGTAGGTTTTTAATTACTGATTCAACTTCAGAACTCATTACTCATTATTGAGTTCTAAAACTCACTTTCATGTACTCTTCAAAAGACTGTCTTCTTCTGTTGTTGAGCGGGGTGTTCTCTCAAGGTCGTTTAGGTGAAGGTGGTTGCTGGTGTTCTTCTGTATCCTTACTGCTTGTCTTTCTCTTTTTTTATTGACTACTGAGGATTAATGGTGATGTGTCCAACTTTAACTCTAGATTAGTCTATTTCTCTTTTAGATTGTAACTCTGTTTTATATATTTTGAAGCTCTGTTGTTAGGCATGTGTATTTGGATTGTTAGGTCTTCTTGATGATGACCTTTATCATTATGTAATGTTTCTTCTTATCTCTGGAAGTATTCGTTGTTCTGAAGTCTATTTGTGCTGATATGAATACAGCCTTCACAGCTCTATTTTCACTAGTATTTGTATATCTTTTTCTCAGCTTTTAAATTGAGATGTTCAGACCATTTGCATTAAAGTAGTTGTTAATAGGATTAAATTTAAATCTACCATTAAGTTGGTTATTTCTCTTTGTCCCATTTAAACTTTGTTCCTTTTTTCATATTTTTCTGCCTTCATTTATATTGAGTTTATCTCCACGACTTACTTATTAAATTAATTTTTAATGGTTTTAGTATTTTCCACAATGTTTATAATATATACTTTGATTTTTTCACATTCCACCTTCAAATGACAGAATTATACTGGATATATAGAAATCTTACATCATTGCACTTCTCCTTCCTCCCTCTCAAAATGTTGTGCTATTGCTCTTTGTAATAGAGGCTTACTTCTATTATGTTATAGCTCTCATAATACATTGACACTATTTTTACCCTGAATAATCAGTTGTTTTTTAAAGTGATTATGACTACAAATATTTTGAATAATTTCTTTATTTTACCATTTCTGGTGCTCCTTATCTTTTACAGTAGATCCCAATTTCCATCTGGAGTCACATTCTTTCTGTGAAAAACAACCTTTAGCATTTCTTATAGCACGGGACTGCTGTTGCTGTTGTCTTTCAGCTTTTCTTTGTCTGAAGAAGTCTTTATTTTGCCTTCAGTTTTTAAAAGTGATTTTGCTGAGTATAGATACTGGGTTGAGAGTTTCATTCCTTGTATCATTTTAACAATGATGTTCCATTATATTCCGTTTTGAATAGTTTCTGACTAGAAATCTGATCTTTGTTTCTTTGTATTCAATAGTTCCTTTTTCTCTGACTGCCTTTAAGATATTCTCATCTTTGTTTTTCAACAGTTTGACTATAATTTGTTTATTATTAACTTTTTGTATTTATTCTGCTTGAGGTTTCCTGAGCTCCTTGGATTTGCAGATTGTTGATTTTTATTGTTTTTGTAAAATTCATAGCCATTATCTATTCTACTGTTTTGTTTTTTTTTTCACTTCTCTCTCTCTGTATTCTTCTTTTTGGACTGTAAGTATTCAAATGTTAGATCATTCATATTGCTTCATAAACCTTATATGCTTCTTCTGCTTTTTTTTTTTTGTCAGGAACTCTTTTTTTGTATCTGTGTTGGTTTGGATAAGTTCTAGTAGACTATGTTCAAGTTTATGGATTATTTTGTTAGTTGTGTCTAATTGACTCCTCAGTGCATTCAGAGAATTCTTCATCTCTGATATTATAAATCTCTTCCTAGCATTTTCATGTTACTCTTTTCTATAGTTTCCATCTCTTTGCTGAAATTCTCCCCCTATCCATGGATATTGTCCACCTTTACCACAAGATTCTTTAACATATTAACATAGGTATCATACAAACCCAAACTGATAGTTTCCAGATGGTGTCTTTTCTGAGTCTGTCTGTCTTGATTGCTTTATTATTTAACAGTGACTTATCTTCCCTCTTCAGCTTTTGGTGTGTCTTGTAATTGTTTAATCAAACACTGGGTATCATAAATGGAGGAACAGTAGAGATTGCAGTAAATATTATTTATGCTTTGAAATGGGCACCCATCTTCTGTTGAAAATATGTTTTGTGGTCAATTGAGTCAACCTAGTAACTGGTTGAACTGAATTTGGCATTTGTGCTTGTTGCTTTTATCTTAAATGCACCACAGGTTTAAATTCCTCCAGTGATGGGTTGCTGCTATCTTTTGCTTAGAGTGGGGCCTGGGGTGTGGAAGAATTTTCTCAGTGTTCCTATCTATTATTAGATTTTAGCAGTCACTGCATGCCTGCACTACAGAGGGGATATCTTCATACACATAATCTAACCCCATTGAAACTGCTGTTTCTTCTTAATGAATGCTCAATCTTTGGTGGAAATAAACAAATGCTGTATCTCCTGGAGCCACTTCAGTCTTAGTCAGGTTCTGCAGGGCTTTGAAGGGAATGCATTCTCAGTATTCTTGTGCCTTATTTGGATGGAACTTGAACCTGTGGTGGGTTTGGAGAGAAAGAGTAGCAGACGTCTGCTATGTTGCAATGCAGGATGCTGGGCACAAGAAAATTTCCAGTCTCTCCTCCAAGGAAATAAGATTTGATCATCTACCTATCCCTGAGAAGTGAAGGGCTTTGCCTGCGGTGCTAGATGCAAAACCATTTTTCTCCCCCCATTGCCCAGAAACTTAAGGCTTTGGCTTTTCTGAGCAGTGGTCTAGGGAATTGTGCAAGGTTTTCATATTTGACCCTGACAGCCCATCACCACCTACAGCTTGCAGTGCCAAATGTATCTCCCTCTGATCTCTCCTGTCCTGTGGTCCTCATGAACATTAAGAAGAGATTTCTAAAAAAGAGCTTGCACATGAGCATAGTTTCTGGTGAGAAGAATTCTGATATGTTAACTTCCTCTAAACTTTTAAATAAAATATTTCTAAGAATTAAATAAAGTTCTAGAATGATATGAATCTATTCCTTTGGTTTTTTGCACGTCTGTCTGCCTGCTAATCAAGAGAAGAGAATGGTCGTAATTCTCAGAGACTTTTTCCTGTTTGTGTCATAAATGACTTCACATTTTTTTCTGTTCTAAGAACTATTCAGCTTGATTTCTTCTGTTTTAATTTTAGCAGCACCTGAGCAAAGCCATGTGGTCCAGGATTGCTACCATGGTGATGGACAGAGTTATCGAGGCACGTACTCCACCACTGTCACAGGAAGGACCTGCCAAGCTTGGTCATCTATGACACCACATCAACATAATAGGACCACAGAAAACTACCCAAATGCGTATGTCATTAATCTTACAGTAAGCAAAACAAGGTCCAAGTAAAATTTGTCTTAGAAAAGGTGTGCGTCAAGCTAACTTCTTATGATTAAATTTTTCTCACACATAGAATGCATGGCAAAATGTCTGAGAAACATTACTTTGAGCAAAGAGTATGATAGAAGAGAAATGTTAAGCTGGCTCTCTTTCCTGAGAGTTTGATAAAATCAGGAGAATATCTGGCGGTGGTGAGGCCACAATAATGGAAAATCAGAATGTTTAGACAGAGTCAGCTTCAACAACACTCACTAAAGGTCAATGTGATCTTTACCCCTTGAAATTCTATAATTCTAATCTCCAATTCCTGAAGTGAAGGTTGTGTTGGCCTTTTCTGTCTTGGCTCACAAGTAAATGATATGTGCATATCTATGGAAAGGCGAATCTATCTTTTTCTATATCTATGTCTATTCCAACGGGTAGAAACACCCTGGGTCCTGAGCACCAGTGGTCTGAAGGAATACGGGTTGCCAGGAAGAGAGAAGCAAAGGCAGGAAGGCAGATGAAAGTAAGAAATGAGACAGATGCTAAACAATAAAAAGTGCGGGAAGATAGACAGAAGCTGGGGTCTGACCACACCATGGCCAGTCTTTCACACATAAGTGACTACCAAAGACAAGAAAAAATGATTTCCGCTTGTTGGACAATAGATGGTAGAGGACCAAGGGAATTGCGAGAGAGAGAACAATGAGATCAACTCAACAGATGCACTGGTTTTCTTCCTGGAGACCCTTCCTGCACTGAAGGGCAGGAGATGGAGCCCAAAAAAAACTGTAGCCATCTTGCTGAACAGAGGAGGGACATTGGAGTTTGGGATTATTCAGGTGGCTAGGATTTTCTAGGCCTGCTAACAATGAGAACAGATTTGTGGAGGAAAGGAGTTCTAGAAATATGCATAGAAATCTCCTCGAGTCATTGGCTAAACATGAAGCTGCATGTACACAGAAAATAGATCCACAAGAAAGTAGGGCAAAGAACATCTACGGAAGAGCAGCAACTACAATGGAACAGTGAGCTCAATAAACATGACAGAGCTCAAATAGCACTAAGGGATATTGGAGTTTGGACCACACAGAGGAGAGAGACTTCACTGAACATCTTGGGCATTCAGTAGAGACCCAGGAAAAGCCATACTTTAGGAGTAGAATTAGTATATTCTTAGAATAAAGGCAGCTCCACACAAACAATAGCAAAACTGAAAAGGAAGTCTCCAAGCATCAGAATGATGTCCAAGTCAATGAACTGCCTCTGAGAGGAAAACTCAACCATCTTTAGAGGTAAACATCAAAGTCAAGTGGCTCAGCTATGCAGTATCCACAGTGTGAGGCCTAAATATAAAACTTGACTACACATAGAAACCTTTTAGTGTGACCCACAAGCAGGAGGAAAATCAGCCAATACAAACAGACCCAGAAGAGACAGAAATGATTAGAATGGCATAAAAATTTGACATATCACTATATAATAATTGAGTTCTAGGATTTAAGAAAACATGAATATAGAATGCAACAGACACCTTATCCAGAGACAGTAAGAGTATAAAGAGCCAAATCGAAGAACTACTAAGAGATATGTCTTAAATGAAAAAATTACTAGATGGCCTCCCCATCTAGTTAGACATTTCAGAAGAAAATACCAAATGAAAAATAATTGCATAGAACCTACAGAACCAGATACACACATACAAAACACACGCATGCATACACACACACTCAAACATGTATAAGCTTACAAACACACACACACATCCACAAATGCTGAAAAATGAAATCAACCGAGCCACACAGACATAAAGGAAAACATAAAAAGATTTCCTACATGTGGGAAGCAAGTCACAGAAAGGGGGAAGGAGATTGGAACAGAAATATATACTGAAAGCAAGGATGGCTGAAAATTTTCCAAATATAAAGAAGATTAAAAAATCACGGACTCAAGAAGCTCAATGGATCAGAAAAATAATTTCTAAAATGACAATTATAGGATGCCACTGGGTACATAGCAGTTCAACTGTCAGAGGGCAAAGACATAATACACAGAAAAATCTCGTAAGGAACGGGAAAAACAAAAAGCTGTGTCTTGCTAGAGGAACAGTGATACAAGTGACTAATGTGTTCCCATCAGAAACACTGCAACCTGGACACAAAAGAATAACATTAAAGTAATAAACGTAAGAAAGAAGAGCTCAACTGAGAAGGCTACATCCAGCAATAAAATGCCTTGAAGTTCATCCATGTTGGAGGAATGCACATTGTGCACTCCCCTAAACAAAGAAACCGGAAACTGTAAGACTTTGGAATCAGCAGGCTTATGTAACAAAAGAGGTGACCCTAAGGAATTAAGGAGAAGAAGAATAGAACAAGAAGGGAACTTTCTGCAGCCTATATAATGAAGAACCTAGCAATTGGCAAATGTAGATGAAAATGCTACATGTTTTCTTGATCAAACGTTTATATCTTTTTAAATGAGAGTTGACGAGTTGAAGCAAAATGATACCAATATATTTAACTTTACCATATGTAGAAGTAAAAATTTGAACATGTAGCATAAATCATGTAGGGATTAATTGGAAGTGTACCACTGTAAGTTTCTTACCTCATGCACGATAGTATGTAATACTAATAAAAGGTTAATGTGTGGGTTCAAAGGGATATTGCAAATCCTAGAGCAATCACAAAGTTTTTAACTCTGAGGTTTGTTGTATAATAACAATATTTTATGTATTCAAAAGAGGGAAGCCAAGGAAGAAAAAAAAGTCTTTAAAGAGCTCTGGCTCTTAGTACATCCAGTTGCTCATTGAATGAGCTTCCTGGAATGGAGGGTCTGGGACTGAGACTAGGCCACATGTGTAGAGCCACTAGAGACACAATGTTGGATCCCCATGGCCCATAATACATTTCCCATTTTCTCAGGCAGCCACAGGTCATGAATGTGAGGATACTGAGAGGTTGGAGCAACGTTCTTGGGAGGCATAAGGAAGAGCGAATGCTTCAAGATCCCCGCAGCCCAAACTCCTCAGCTGCTTTGCCTCCTAATTCATTGTTTTTTGCTCCTCCATAGCTGTCCGACCTCTTCAGATCTCTTAGTCTTCCTGCCATCTTCCTTTATGCCATGGGACCCACTGTTCTTTCAACTCATCCCCCAGTTCTGGAGTGGCTGTGGACAGCAGAGGATAGACTGAGAGCAGGAGAGAAGGTCCTGCCCAGGAACCCATTCTAGAGATACTGCATTCTGCCTGGGAGCAAGTTTTCCAGGGCAGCTTTGAGAAGTCTTGCAGAAACAAACCTACTTGACCGACATGATATGGGAATGACAGACAGTAATACTATTTGCACAATGCTTTTCCATGGGAAAGGTAGAGCCTTTTCACTAGGTTTTGAGTACATGGAGTGTGAGAGTTGACCTGGAAAGGTTATCCTCCTTGATGCCATGTTTTCTCTGAAGAACTACATGTTCGTTGCAACTCCCACATTAGAATATGAAGTCCTACCGAGAGAGATACGGAGACTAGACAGATACAGATGCATTTGCATGTGAATACACAATCCCACAATACAGACGTCAAAACCCATACCAGTTATTCCAGAGAGATGGATTGGGCAGAAGGCAGAAGGAGAATACTCTGATCGTTTTTCGGCCACGTGTGTGTGTTATCTCAGTGTTTCTAAGAAGCGTTTGCTACTTTAGATTTTTTATTTAAAAAAAATAGTAATAATCTATTAAGTATGAGAGATGTGCAGAGAGGATTAGTGATCGAGAGCCATTTTTGCTGGTGGCAATCATATGGTACTTTTAATGGGAATATTAGAAAGGCACCGGTAATGACCTTGTTGCAGCACAAAGGAGAGAGTGTGGGGTGCCCCTGCATGTTGTCCCACCTCTTGTGACGTGTATCGTTTTGGAATTTCCAGTGGCTTGATCATGAACTACTGCAGGAATCCAGATGCTGTGGCAGCTCCTTATTGTTATACGAGGGATCCCGGTGTCAGGTGGGAGTACTGCAACCTGACGCAATGCTCAGACGCAGAAGGGACTGCCGTCGCGCCTCCGACTGTTACCCCGGTTCCAAGCCTAGAGGCTCCTTCCGAACAAGGTAAGGAGTCTGTGGCCAGACATCTACACGCTTCGATGCTGGGATGAAAAGCCATGGAAATTCCCACTGATGCAGCCGCCTTCAATGGTAAACGGATGCTCGAGTGTTGCCTGAGTTCTACCATGTAGGAGGAAGCCTCCGTGCACTCTCTGGGGGAGCCAGCGGAGTGATTTCTGGTGCAACGTGGTTGGGCTTTGTCTTTAGGATGGGCACAAACCCTCCAGGGGGATCGACTTCAAAATTCACCTTGTTGTAAAACGGGCTACCTCAGTGTCCCAGCCAAAATTTTTATTGTAACATGCTGTCAGGTGTGTCACTCTTTCCAAGCCAGTAAGCTTTTCCGGGGATTTCTTCAAGTAGCCAGCATTCAGAGCAATCTTCAGCATTGCAGATTCTGAGAAATGTGGCTCTGGAGCCTGTCACCCTCGAGAAACCTAAGAGGGCTGCATTGATTCCATGTGGCCCTGGGTCTATGGAGCAGTACATGAGCTCCCAGTGCTCTAAGGCTCTTCAGCCCTAGGCTTTGAAGGGAGTGATTTCTCAGTATTCTTAAACCTCTTTCTGATGACACTTGTACCTGTGAGGGGTCTAGAGAGAAAGAGTAGTAGACTCCTACTTTACTACAATTCAGGATGCAGGGCATGAGAGGATTCCCTCTCTCCTCCAAGGGAAGAAGCTTTTGGCGTGCACACATCCCTGAGAAGCAAAGTGTCTTTGTCTTCAGTCAGATACATAGGACCGTTTTCTGCCCCATGGCCCGGAAGCCAAAGGCCTTGGCTTTCATGATCAACGGTCTAGGGAAACATGCAAAATTTCCATGTCTGTCCCAAACTCTGCCCCCGACAGCCAATTACCACCTGCAGCCCGCATTGCCAAATGCGGTGCCGTTTGCATGAAGATTCAGTAGAGTTTCCTAGAAAGGTGCTACCTCGTGAGCTCACTTTCCAATGAGGAATCTGATCTGTTGTGTTTCTCTAAGGTGTCAGGTGAAATATTTCCAAGAACTTACTACAGTTCTAGAATGGGAGGAATCTGTTGCTTTGGTGTTTGTTTGTTGGTCGGTTTTCTCACATCCATCTGCCTATGGATAAGGAAAAGAGAACGGTCGTAATTCTCATAGACTCCTTTCTGGTTGTGTCACAAATGGCTTCACATGTTTCTCTATGCTCAGAGATACTCAGCTTGATTTCCCGTGTTTTCATTTCAGCACCGACTGAGCAAAGGCCTGGGGTGCAGGAGTGCTACCATGGTAATGGACAGAGTTATCGAGGCACATACTCCACCACTGTCACAGGAAGAACCTGCCAAGCTTGGTCATCTATGACACCACACTCGCATAGTCGGACCCCAGAATACTACCCAAATGCGTATGTCTTTGTTCTTTACCATAAGAGAAGAAAGGGCCAAGTGAAGTTTCTGTTACAAGAGATGTGTCTCAAGCTGAGTTCTCCGAACTCAACTTGTGACAGATGCAGATGGCGTAGCAAAATGTCTCAGGATGATTGCCTTGGAGCTAAGGGTCTGAGAGAAGGGAAATGTTAAGCTCCCTCTCCTTCCTCCTAGTTCTATTGAGCAGAAGGGAAATCTGGAGGTGAGGAGATCACATTATGAAGAAAGTCAGAATGACAAAGGACCAGACACTTAGATTACCCTTCCACAACACCAACTAAACGTCAATGGAGACTTTCCAGTTGGAATTCCGTTATTCTGGCTTCCACTTCCTGAAGGGAAGGTTGCGTTTGCCTTTTCTCTCTGGGTTCAAGAGGAAAGAATAGGTGCTTATTTATGGACAGGTGAATTGATCTGTTTCTATATCTACGTATATTCCGATTGTCAGAAAAACACTCGTTCCTAAGTACCAGTGGCCTGAAGGGATACAGGTTCCCAGCAAGAGAAGATCCAAGGAAGGAAGGCAGATGAGAGTCAGCACAGAGAGGGATGCTGAAAAGTAAAAGGGATGGGTGGATGGAGAGAAGCCCGGGTCTGACCACCCAATGGCCAATATTTTGGCCACAAGCGACTACCAGAGACATGGAAAAATGGTTTCTACATGTGGGACAACAGATGGTAGAGGACCTAGAGAATTGAGAGAGGGGCAATGATGGGCTCCACTCCGCAGATGCCTTGGCTTTCTTCCTGGATACCCTTCCTGCACTGAATAGCAAGGAGATGGAGCCCAAGCAGACTGTAGCCATCTTGCTGAATGGAGGAGAGGGATTGGAGTTTGGGATGACTGTGGTAGCTGAAATTTTTCTAGGTCTGCTAGAAATAAGAACTGGTTTGTGTGGAGGAAAAGAGCTCTACAAATACGCATAGAAGTCTCCTCCAGTCGTTGGCCTGACATGACGCTGCCTGTGCACAGGAAATGGTTCCACGAGAAAGTGTGGCAAAGAACATTTACTGAGAAACAGCAAGTACAAGAGCACAGGAAGCTCAATAAAGAAGAGAGAGATCACATAGCACTCTGGGATACTGGAGTTCTTCCCAGCTAGACCAGAGAGTCCTCACGGAGCACATTGCCAATTCAGTGGAGACCCCAGAACAGCCGTAATTTAAAGGTACACTTAGTATATTACTAGAATAAAGTCAGCTGCAGACAACCCCTTGCACAGCTGGAAAGCAAGTGTCCAAGCATCAAATCGGTTTCCAATCAATGAAGTGCCTGTGAGAGGAAATCTCAACTCTCTTTAGAAGTAAACAACAAAGTCGATTGCCTCAGCTATGCGGTATCCGCAGAGTGAGTCCTAAATTTAAAATCTGACTACATGTAGAAAAGCGTTTCGTGTGACCCATGACCAGGAAATAAATCGGGTAATACAAACAGGCTCAGGAATGAGAGAAATGATTAGAATTGCGTGAAAATTTGACATATCAGTATGATAACTGATTTCAAATATTTAAAAAAACAACATGCAAGAAAGCAGATATCATATCAAGAGAAATTAACAGTACAGAATAGCCAAATTAAATTAAAGAGGTAGTATAAAAAAAGTATGTCTTAATTGAAAAAAATTACTGTATGGCCGGCTGATCAATTTAGACGTTTCAGAGGAAAACATTACCCAACACACAATTCTAGAGAACCTACAGAATGAGCTACACACACACACACACACACACACACACACACTGAAAACACACCCATACTCACACACACGCAGAAACTCACAAGTTCTAACACACACAGACACGCGCACCCCTGAAGAAACAGTGAAATATAAAATTAAGCGAGCCTCACAGACATGTAGGAAAATATGAAAAGATTTCCTGCATGTGGGAAGCAAGTCACAGTAAAGAGCAAGGGAGTTTATAATAGAAACAAATACCAGAATCAAGGATGGCTGATAACTTTTCAATTACGAAGAACATTAAAAAAAATCACAGAATCGTGAAACTCAAGGGATCATATAGGGAATTTCGGAAAAAAAACCCAACCTGTATGATGTACTTTTGTACATCACAGTTCGAAGGTAACAAGGCAAAGATGTAATAAGAAGAAACCTGTCACGAGAAACTGGAGGAAAAAGAGCTGTGTCTTCCTACAAGTACACTGATACAAATTGCCAATGTGTTCACCTCAGAAACACTGGAAGCCAGATACCAGGGAATATTGTTAAAATGATAATCAGGAACAAAAAGAGATCAACCGGGAATGCTGAATCCAGCAATAAAATGCCTTGAAGGTCATCCATGTCGGATAAATGCATATTGTGCACTGCCCCAAAGAAAGAAACCGGAAACTGTAAGAATTGGAAATCAGCAGGCTTATGTAACAAGAGAGGTGACCCGAAGGAATTAGGTAGAAGAAGAATTGAACAAGAAAGGAACTTTCTGCAGCCCACGTAATGAAGAATCCAGCAATTGGCAAATGTAGATAGATGTAAATGCAAAATATTTTCTTGATCAAATTTCTATATCTTTGTAAATGAGAGTTGACTACTTGAAACAAAATGATAGCAAGATATTTAACTTCAGCATATGTAGAGGTAAGAATTTGAAATGGTAGCATAAATCACGAAGGGATTAATTCGAAGTGTACCGTTGTAAGTTTCTTTACCTCATGCACGATGGTGTGTCATATTAATAAAAGGGTACTGTGCGGGTTCGAAGGGATATTGCAAATCCTAGAGCAATCACAAAGGTTTGAACTCTGAGGTTTTTGGTATAATAAGAATAGTCCATGCATTCAAAAGAGGGAAGCCAAGGAAGAACTAGAAGTCTTTCAAGAGCTCAGGCTCTTATACATCCAGTTGCTCATTGAACCAGCTTCCTGGAATGGAGGGTCTGGGGTTGAGACTAGGCCACAAGTCTAGAGTCTCTAGAGAGACAGTGTTGGAACCCCATGGCCCATAATACATTTCCCATTTTCTCAGGCAGCCAGAGGTCATGAATGTGAGGATACTGGGAGGTTGGAGCAACGTTCTTGGGAGGCATAAGGAAGAGCGAATGCTTCAAGATCCCCGCAGCCCAAACTACTCGCCTGCTTTGCCCCCTAATGCATTTTTCTCTGCTGCTCCGTAGCTGTCCGACCTCTTCAGATCTCTTAGTCCACCCTGCCGTCTTCCTTTATGCCATGGGTCCCACTGTTCTTTCAACTCATCCCCCTTTCCCTCAGTCCCGGAGTAGCTGCGGCCAGCAGAGGGTAGACTGAGAGCAGGAGAGAAGGACCTGCCTAGGAACCCCTTCTAGAGATACTGCATCCTGCCTGGGAGCAAGTTTTCCAGGGCAGCTTTGAGAAGTCTTGGAGAAACAAACCTACTAAACCTGACAGACAGTAATACTATTTGCACAATGCTTTTCTGTGGGAAAGGTAGAGCCTTTTCACTACGTATTGAGTACATAGAGTGTGAGGGTTGACCTGGAACGGCTATCCTCCTGGATGACGTGTGTTTTCTGAAGAACTACATGTTCGTTGCAACTCCCACATTAGAATATGAAGTCCTACCGAGAGAGATACGGAGACTAGACAGATACAGATGCATTTGCATGTGAATACACAATCCCACAATACAGACGTCAAAACCCATACCAGTTATTCCAGAGAGATGGATTGGGCAGAAGGCAGAAGGAGAATACTCTGATCGTTTTTCGGCCACGTGTGTGTGTTATCTCAGTGTTTCTAAGAAGCGTTTGCTACTTTAGATTTTTTATTTAAAAAAATAGTAATAATCTATTAAGTATGAGAGATGTGCAGAGAGGATTAGTGATCGAGAGCCATTTTTGCTGGTGGCAATCATATGGTACTTTTAATGGGAATATTAGAAAGGCACCGGTAATGACCTTGTTGCAGCACAAAGGAGAGAGTGTGGGGTGCCCCTGCATGTTGTCCCACCTCTTGTGACGTGTATCGTTTTGGAATTTCCAGTGGCTTGATCATGAACTACTGCAGGAATCCAGATGCTGTGGCAGCTCCTTATTGTTATACGAGGGATCCCGGTGTCAGGTGGGAGTACTGCAACCTGACGCAATGCTCAGACGCAGAAGGGACTGCCGTCGCGCCTCCGACTGTTACCCCGGTTCCAAGCCTAGAGGCTCCTTCCGAACAAGGTAAGGAGTCTGTGGCCAGACATCTACACGCTTCGATGCTGGGATGAAAAGCCATGGAAATTCCCACTGATGCAGCCGCCTTCAATGGTAAACGGATGCTCGAGTGTTGCCTGAGTTCTACCATGTAGGAGGAAGCCTCCGTGCACTCTCTGGGGGAGCCAGCGGAGTGATTTCTGGTGCAACGTGGTTGGGCTTTGTCTTTAGGATGGGCACAAACCCTCCAGGGGGATCGACTTCAAAATTCACCTTGTTGTAAAACGGGCTACCTCAGTGTCCCAGCCAAAATTTTTATTGTAACATGCTGTCAGGTGTGTCACTCTTTCCAAGCCAGTAAGCTTTTCCGGGGATTTCTTCAAGTAGCCAGCATTCAGAGCAATCTTCAGCATTGCAGATTCTGAGAAATGTGGCTCTGGAGCCTGTCACCCTCGAGAAACCTAAGAGGGCTGCATTGATTCCATGTGGCCCTGGGTCTATGGAGCAGTACATGAGCTCCCAGTGCTCTAAGGCTCTTCAGCCCTAGGCTTTGAAGGGAGTGATTTCTCAGTATTCTTAAACCTCTTTCTGATGACACTTGTACCTGTGAGGGGTCTAGAGAGAAAGAGTAGTAGACTCCTACTTTACTACAATTCAGGATGCAGGGCATGAGAGGATTCCCTCTCTCCTCCAAGGGAAGAAGCTTTTGGCGTGCACACATCCCTGAGAAGCAAAGTGTCTTTGTCTTCAGTCAGATACATAGGACCGTTTTCTGCCCCATGGCCCGGAAGCCAAAGGCCTTGGCTTTCATGATCAACGGTCTAGGGAAACATGCAAAATTTCCATGTCTGTCCCAAACTCTGCCCCCGACAGCCAATTACCACCTGCAGCCCGCATTGCCAAATGCGGTGCCGTTTGCATGAAGATTCAGTAGAGTTTCCTAGAAAGGTGCTACCTCGTGAGCTCACTTTCCAATGAGGAATCTGATCTGTTGTGTTTCTCTAAGGTGTCAGGTGAAATATTTCCAAGAACTTACTACAGTTCTAGAATGGGAGGAATCTGTTGCTTTGGTGTTTGTTTGTTGGTCGGTTTTCTCACATCCATCTGCCTATGGATAAGGAAAAGAGAACGGTCGTAATTCTCATAGACTCCTTTCTGGTTGTGTCACAAATGGCTTCACATGTTTCTCTATGCTCAGAGATACTCAGCTTGATTTCCCGTGTTTTCATTTCAGCACCGACTGAGCAAAGGCCTGGGGTGCAGGAGTGCTACCATGGTAATGGACAGAGTTATCGAGGCACATACTCCACCACTGTCACAGGAAGAACCTGCCAAGCTTGGTCATCTATGACACCACACTCGCATAGTCGGACCCCAGAATACTACCCAAATGCGTATGTCTTTGTTCTTTACCATAAGAGAAGAAAGGGCCAAGTGAAGTTTCTGTTACAAGAGATGTGTCTCAAGCTGAGTTCTCCGAACTCAACTTGTGACAGATGCAGATGGCGTAGCAAAATGTCTCAGGATGATTGCCTTGGAGCTAAGGGTCTGAGAGAAGGGAAATGTTAAGCTCCCTCTCCTTCCTCCTAGTTCTATTGAGCAGAAGGGAAATCTGGAGGTGAGGAGATCACATTATGAAGAAAGTCAGAATGACAAAGGACCAGACACTTAGATTACCCTTCCACAACACCAACTAAACGTCAATGGAGACTTTCCAGTTGGAATTCCGTTATTCTGGCTTCCACTTCCTGAAGGGAAGGTTGCGTTTGCCTTTTCTCTCTGGGTTCAAGAGGAAAGAATAGGTGCTTATTTATGGACAGGTGAATTGATCTGTTTCTATATCTACGTATATTCCGATTGTCAGAAAAACACTCGTTCCTAAGTACCAGTGGCCTGAAGGGATACAGGTTCCCAGCAAGAGAAGATCCAAGGAAGGAAGGCAGATGAGAGTCAGCACAGAGAGGGATGCTGAAAAGTAAAAGGGATGGGTGGATGGAGAGAAGCCCGGGTCTGACCACCCAATGGCCAATATTTTGGCCACAAGCGACTACCAGAGACATGGAAAAATGGTTTCTACATGTGGGACAACAGATGGTAGAGGACCTAGAGAATTGAGAGAGGGGCAATGATGGGCTCCACTCCGCAGATGCCTTGGCTTTCTTCCTGGATACCCTTCCTGCACTGAATAGCAAGGAGATGGAGCCCAAGCAGACTGTAGCCATCTTGCTGAATGGAGGAGAGGGATTGGAGTTTGGGATGACTGTGGTAGCTGAAATTTTTCTAGGTCTGCTAGAAATAAGAACTGGTTTGTGGAGGAAAAGAGCTCTACAAATACGCATAGAAGTCTCCTCCAGTCGTTGGCCTGACATGACGCTGCCTGTGCACAGGAAATGGTTCCACGAGAAAGTGTGGCAAAGAACATTTACTGAGAAACAGCAAGTACAAGAGCACAGGAAGCTCAATAAAGAAGAGAGAGATCACATAGCACTCTGGGATACTGGAGTTCTTCCCAGCTAGACCAGAGAGTCCTCACGGAGCACATTGCCAATTCAGTGGAGACCCCAGAACAGCCGTAATTTAAAGGTACACTTAGTATATTACTAGAATAAAGTCAGCTGCAGACAACCCCTTGCACAGCTGGAAAGCAAGTGTCCAAGCATCAAATCGGTTTCCAATCAATGAAGTGCCTGTGAGAGGAAATCTCAACTCTCTTTAGAAGTAAACAACAAAGTCGATTGCCTCAGCTATGCGGTATCCGCAGAGTGAGTCCTAAATTTAAAATCTGACTACATGTAGAAAAGCGTTTCGTGTGACCCATGACCAGGAAATAAATCGGGTAATACAAACAGGCTCAGGAATGAGAGAAATGATTAGAATTGCGTGAAAATTTGACATATCAGTATGATAACTGATTTCAAATATTTAAAAAAACAACATGCAAGAAAGCAGATATCATATCAAGAGAAATTAACAGTACAGAATAGCCAAATTAAATTAAAGAGCTAGTATAAAAAAAGTATGTCTTAATTGAAAAAAATTACTGTATGGCCGGCTGATCAATTTAGACGTTTCAGAGGAAAACATTACCCAACACACAATTCTAGAGAACCTACAGAATGAGCTACACACACACACACACACACACACACAAACTGAAAACACACCCATACTCACACACACGCAGAAACTCACAAGTTCTAACACACACAGACACGCGCACCCCTGAAGAAACAGTGAAATATAAAATTAAGCGAGCCTCACAGACATGTAGGAAAATATGAAAAGATTTCCTGCATGTGGGAAGCAAGTCACAGTAAAGAGCAAGGGAGTTTGGAATAGAAACAAATACCGGAATCAAGGATGGCTGATAACTTTTCAATTACGAAGAACATTAAAAAAAATCACAGAATCGTGAAACTCAAGGGATCACATAGGGAATTTCGGAAAAAAAACCCAACCTGTATGATGTACTTTTGTACATCACAGTTCGAAGGTAACAAGGCAAAGATATAATAAGAAGAAACCTGTCACGAGAAACTGGAGGAAAAAGAGCTGTGTCTTCCTACAAGTACACTGATACAAATTGCCAATGTGTTCACCTCAGAAACACTGGAAGCCAGATACCAGGGAATATTGTTAAAATGATAATCAGGAACAAAAAGAGATCAACCGGGAATGCTGAATCCAGCAATAAAATGCCTTGAAGATCATCCATGTCGGATAAATGCATATTGTGCACTGCCCCAAAGAAAGAAACCGGAAACTGTAAGAATTGGAAATCAGCAGGCTTATGTAACAAGAGAGGTGACCCGAAGGAATTAGGTAGAAGAAGAATTGAACAAGAAAGGAACTTTCTGCAGCCCACGTAATGAAGAATCCAGCAATTGGCAAATGTAGATAGATGTAAATGCAAAATATTTTCTTGATCAAATTTCTATATCTTTGTAAATGAGAGTTGACTACTTGAAACAAAATGATAGCAAGATATTTAACTTCAGCATATGTAGAGGTAAGAATTTGAAATGGTAGCATAAATCACGAAGGGATTAATTCGAAGTGTACCGTTGTAAGTTTCTTTACCTCATGCACGATGGTGTGTCATATTAATAAAAGGGTACTGTGCGGGTTCGAAGGGATATTGCAAATCCTAGAGCAATCACAAAGGTTTGAACTCTGAGGTTTTTGGTATAATAAGAATAGTCCATGCATTCAAAAGAGGGAAGCCAAGGAAGAACTAGAAGTCTTTCAAGAGCTCAGGCTCTTATACATCCAGTTGCTCATTGAACCAGCTTCCTGGAATGGAGGGTCTGGGGTTGAGACTAGGCCACAAGTCTAGAGTCTCTAGAGAGACAGTGTTGGAACCCCATGGCCCATAATACATTTCCCATTTTCTCAGGCAGCCAGAGGTCATGAATGTGAGGATACTGGGAGGTTGGAGCAACGTTCTTGGGAGGCATAAGGAAGAGCGAATGCTTCAAGATCCCCGCAGCCCAAACTACTCGCCTGCTTTGCCCCCTAATGCATTTTTCTCTGCTGCTCCGTAGCTGTCCGACCTCTTCAGATCTCTTAGTCCACCCTGCCGTCTTCCTTTATGCCATGGGTCCCACTGTTCTTTCAACTCATCCCCCTTTCCCTCAGTCCCGGAGTAGCTGCGGCCAGCAGAGGGTAGACTGAGAGCAGGAGAGAAGGACCTGCCTAGGAACCCCTTCTAGAGATACTGCATCCTGCCTGGGAGCAAGTTTTCCAGGGCAGCTTTGAGAAGTCTTGGAGAAACAAACCTACTAAACCTGACAGACAGTAATACTATTTGCACAATGCTTTTCTGTGGGAAAGGTAGAGCCTTTTCACTACGTATTGAGTACATAGAGTGTGAGGGTTGACCTGGAACGGCTATCCTCCTGGATGACGTGTGTTTTCTGAAGAACTACATGTTCGTTGCAACTCCCACATTAGAATATGAAGTCCTACCGAGAGAGATACGGAGACTAGACAGATACAGATGCATTTGCATGTGAATACACAATCCCACAATACAGACGTCAAAACCCATACCAGTTATTCCAGAGAGATGGATTGGGTAGGAGGCAGAAGGAGAATACTCTGATCGTTTTTCGGCCACGTGTGTGTGTTATCTCAGTGTTTCTAAGAAGCGTTTGCTACTTTAGATTTTTTATTTAAAAAAAATAGTAATAATCTATTAAGTATGAGAGATGTGCAGAGAGGATTAGTGATCGAGAGCCATTTTTGCTGGTGGCAATCATATGGTACTTTTAATGGGAATATTAGAAAGGCACCGGTAATGACCTTGTTGCAGCACAAAGGAGAGAGTGTGGGGTGCCCCTGCATGTTGTCCCACCTCTTGTGACGTGTATCGTTTTGGAATTTCCAGTGGCTTGATCATGAACTACTGCAGGAATCCAGATGCTGTGGCAGCTCCTTATTGTTATACGAGGGATCCCGGTGTCAGGTGGGAGTACTGCAACCTGACGCAATGCTCAGACGCAGAAGGGACTGCCGTCGCGCCTCCGACTGTTACCCCGGTTCCAAGCCTAGAGGCTCCTTCCGAACAAGGTAAGGAGTCTGTGGCCAGACATCTACACGCTTCGATGCTGGGATGAAAAGCCATGGAAATTCCCACTGATGCAGCCGCCTTCAATGGTAAACGGATGCTCGAGTGTTGCCGGAGTTCTGCCATGTTGGGGGAAGCCTCCGTGTACTCTCTGGGGGAGCCAGCGGAGTGATTTCTGGTGCAACTTGGGTGGGCTTTGTCTTTAGAATGGGCACAAACCTTCCAGGGTGATGGGCTTCACAACTCACCTCCTTCTAAAATGGGCTATCTCAGTGTCTTAGCCAAAATTTTTATTGTAACGTGCTGTCAGGTGTGTGATTCTTTCTGTCGCAGTAAGCTTTTCTGGGGATTTCTTCAAGTAGCCAGCAGTCAGTGCAATCTTCAGCATTGCAGATTTCAAAAAATGTGGCTCTGGAGCCTGTCATCCTCGAGAAACCTAACAGGGCTGCATTAATTCCATATGGTCCTGGGTCTATGGAGCAGTATATGAGCTCCCAATGCTCTAAGGCTCTTCAGTCCTAGGCTTTGAAGGGAGTGATTTCTCAGTGTTCTTAAACCTCTTTCTGATGGCACTTGTACCTGTGAGGGGTCTAGAGAGAAAGGTTAGTAGACTTCTCCTTTACTGCAATTCAGGATGCAGGGCATGAGAAGATTCCCTCCCTCCTCCAAGGGAAGAAGGTTTTGGCGTGCACACATCCTTGAGAAGCAAAGTGTCTTTGCCTTCAGTCAGATATATAGGATCGTTTTCTGCCCCATGGCCTGGAAGCCAGAGGCCTTGGCTTTCATGATCAACGATCTAGGGAAACATGCAAAATTTCCATGTCTTTCCCCTCCTCTGCCCTCGACAGCCAATTACCACCTGCATCCTGCATTGCCAAATGCAGTGCCCTTTGTATGAACATTCAGTAGAGTTTCATAGAAAGGTGCTACTTCGTGAGCGCACTTTGCAGTGAGAAGGAGTCTGTTCTGTTCTGTTTTTCTAAGGATTTCAGGTGAAATATTTCCTAGAACTTACTACAGTTCTAGATTGGTAGGAATCTGTAGGTTTGCTGTATGTTTTTTGGTTGGTTTTCTCCCATCCATCTGCCTACAGGTAAGGGAAAGATAACGTTCGTAATTCTCATAGACTCCTTTCTGGTTGTGTCATAAATGGCTTCACATATTTCGTTATTCTCAGAGATACTCAGTTTATTTCTTGTGTTTTCATTTCAGCACCGACTGAGCAGAGGCCTGGGGTGCAGGAGTGCTACCACGGTAATGGACAGAGTTATCGAGGCACATACTCCACCACTGTCACTGGAAGAACCTGCCAAGCTTGGTCATCTATGACACCACACTCGCATAGTCGGACCCCAGAATACTACCCAAATGCGTATGTCTTTGTTCTTTACCATAAGAGAAGAAAGGGCCAAGTGAAGTTTCTGTTACAAGAGATGTGTCTCAAGCTGAGTTCTCCGAACTCAACTTGTGACAGATGCAGATGGCGTAGCAAAATGTCTCAGGATGATTGCCTTGGAGCTAAGGGTCTGAGAGAAGGGAAATGTTAAGCTCCCTCTCCTTCCTCCTAGTTCTATTGAGCAGAAGGGAAATCTGGAGGTGAGGAGATCACATTATGAAGAAAGTCAGAATGACAAAGGACCAGACACTTAGATTACCCTTCCACAACACCAACTAAACGTCAATGGAGACTTTCCAGTTGGAATTCCGTTATTCTGGCTTCCACTTCCTGAAGGGAAGGTTGCGTTTGCCTTTTCTCTCTGGGTTCAAGAGGAAAGAATAGGTGCTTATTTATGGACAGGTGAATTGATCTGTTTCTATATCTACGTATATTCCGATTGTCAGAAAAACACTCGTTCCTAAGTACCAGTGGCCTGAAGGGATACAGGTTCCCAGCAAGAGAAGATCCAAGGAAGGAAGGCAGATGAGAGCCAGCACAGAGAGGGATGCTGAAAAGTAAAAGGGATGGGTGGATGGAGAGAAGCCCGGGTCTGACCACCCAATGGCCAATATTTTGGCCACAAGCGACTACCAGAGACATGGAAAAATGGTTTCTACATGTGGGACAACAGATGGTAGAGGACCTAGAGAATTGAGAGAGGGGCAATGATGGGCTCCACTCCGCAGATGCCTTGGCTTTCTTCCTGGATACCCTTCCTGCACTGAATAGCAAGGAGATGGAGCCCAAGCAGACTGTAGCCATCTTGCTGAATGGAGGAGAGGGATTGGAGTTTGGGATGACTGTGGTAGCTGAAATTTTTCTAGGTCTGCTAGAAATAAGAACTGGTTTGTGGAGGAAAAGAGCTCTACAAATACGCATAGAAGTCTCCTCCAGTCGTTGGCCTGACATGACGCTGCCTGTGCACAGGAAATGGTTCCACGAGAAAGTGTGGCAAAGAACATTTACTGAGAAACAGCAAGTACAAGAGCACAGGAAGCTCAATAAAGAAGAGAGAGATCACATAGCACTCTGGGATACTGGAGTTCTTCCCAGCTAGACCAGAGAGTCCTCACGGAGCACATTGCCAATTCAGTGGAGACCCCAGAACAGCCGTAATTTAAAGGTACACTTAGTATATTACTAGAATAAAGTCAGCTGCAGACAACCCCTTGCACAGCTGGAAAGCAAGTGTCCAAGCATCAAATCGGTTTCCAATCAATGAAGTGCCTGTGGGAGGAAATCTCAACTCTCTTTAGAAGTAAACAACAAAGTCGATTGCCTCAGCTATGCGGTATCCGCAGAGTGAGTCCTAAATTTAAAATCTGACTACATGTAGAAAAGCGTTTCGTGTGACCCATGACCAGGAAATAAATCGGGTAATACAAACAGGCTCAGGAATGAGAGAAATGATTAGAATTGCGTGAAAATTTGACATATCAGTATGATAACTGATTTCAAATATTTAAAAAAACAACATGCAAGAAAGCAGATATCATATCAAGAGAAATTAACAGTACAGAATAGCCAAATTAAATTAAAGAGCTAGTATAAAAAAAGTATGTCTTAATTGAAAAAAATTACTGTATGGCCGGCTGATCAAATTAGACGTTTCAGAGGAAAACATTACCCAACACACAATTCTAGAGAACCTACAGAATGAGCTACACACACACACACACACACACACACACACACTGAAAACACACCCATACTCACACACACGCAGAAACTCACAAGTTCTAACACACACAGACACGCGCACCCCTGAAGAAACAGTGAAATATAAAATTAAGCGAGCCTCACAGACATGTAGGAAAATATGAAAAGATTTCCTGCATGTGGGAAGCAAGTCACAGTAAAGAGCAAGGGAGTTTGGAATAGAAACAAATACCGGAATCAAGGATGGCTGATAACTTTTCAATTACGAAGAACATTAAAAAAAATCACAGAATCGTGAAACTCAAGGGATCATATAGGGAATTTCGGAAAAAAAACCCAACCTGTATGATGTACTTTTGTACATCACAGTTCGAAGGTAACAAGGCAAAGATATAATAAGAAGAAACCTGTCACGAGAAACTGGAGGAAAAAGAGCTGTGTCTTCCTACAAGTACACTGATACAAATTGCCAATGTGTTCACCTCAGAAACACTGGAAGCCAGATACCAGGGAATATTGTTAAAATGATAATCAGGAACAAAAAGAGATCAACCGGGAATGCTGAATCCAGCAATAAAATGCCTTGAAGATCATCCATGTCGGATAAATGCATATTGTGCACTGCCCCAAAGAAAGAAACCGGAAACTGTCAGAATTGGAAATCAGCAGGCTTATGTAACAAGAGAGGTGACCCGAAGGAATTAGGTAGAAGAAGAATTGAACAAGAAAGGAACTTTCTGCAGCCCACGTAATGAAGAATCCAGCAATTGGCAAATGTAGATAGATGTAAATGCAAAATATTTTCTTGATCAAATTTCTATATCTTTGTAAATGAGAGTTGACTACTTGAAACAAAATGATAGCAAGATATTTAACTTCAGCATATGTAGAGGTAAGAATTTGAAATGGTAGCATAAATCACGAAGGGATTAATTCGAAGTGTACCGTTGTAAGTTTCTTTACCTCATGCACGATGGTGTGTCATATTAATAAAAGGGTACTGTGCGGGTTCGAAGGGATATTGCAAATCCTAGAGCAATCACAAAGGTTTGAACTCTGAGGTTTTTGGTATAATAAGAATAGTCCATGCATTCAAAAGAGGGAAGCCAAGGAAGAACTAGAAGTCTTTCAAGAGCTCAGGCTCTTATACATCCAGTTGCTCATTGAACCAGCTTCCTGGAATGGAGGGTCTGGGGTTGAGACTAGGCCACAAGTCTAGAGTCTCTAGAGAGACAGTGTTGGAACCCCATGGCCCATAATACATTTCCCATTTTCTCAGGCAGCCAGAGGTCATGAATGTGAGGATACTGGGAGGTTGGAGCAACGTTCTTGGGAGGCATAAGGAAGAGCGAATGCTTCAAGATCCCCGCAGCCCAAACTACTCGCCTGCTTTGCCCCCTAATGCATTTTTCTCTGCTGCTCCGTAGCTGTCCGACCTCTTCAGATCTCTTAGTCCACCCTGCCGTCTTCCTTTATGCCATGGGTCCCATTGTTCTTTCAACTCATCCCCCTTTCCCTCAGTCCCGGAGTAGCTGCGGCCAGCAGAGGGTAGACTGAGAGCAGGAGAGAAGGACCTGCCTAGGAACCCCTTCTAGAGATACTGCATCCTGCCTGGGAGCAAGTTTTCCAGGGCAGCTTTGAGAAGTCTTGGAGAAACAAACCTACTAAACCTGACAGACAGTAATACTATTTGCACAATGCTTTTCTGTGGGAAAGGTAGAGCCTTTTCACTACGTATTGAGTACATAGAGTGTGAGGGTTGACCTGGAACGGCTATCCTCCTGGATGACGTGCGTTTTCTGAAGAACTACATGTTCGTTGCAACTCCCACATTAGAATATGAAGTCCTACCGAGAGAGATACGGAGACTAGACAGATACAGATGCATTTGCATGTGAATACACAATCCCACAATACAGACGTCAAAACCCATACCAGTTATTCCAGAGAGATGGATTGGGCAGAAGGCAGAAGGAGAATACTCTGATCGTTTTTCGGCCACGTGTGTGTGTTATCTCAGTGTTTCTAAGAAGCGTTTGCTACTTTAGATTTTTTATTTAAAAAAAATAGTAATAATCTATTAAGTATGAGAGATGTGCAGAGAGGATTAGTGATCGAGAGCCATTTTTGCTGGTGGCAATCATATGGTACTTTTAATGGGAATATTAGAAAGGCACCGGTAATGACCTTGTTGCAGCACAAAGGAGAGAGTGTGGGGTGCCCCTGCATGTTGTCCCACCTCTTGTGACGTGTATCGTTTTGGAATTTCCAGTGGCTTGATCATGAACTACTGCAGGAATCCAGATGCTGTGGCAGCTCCTTATTGTTATACGAGGGATCCCGGTGTCAGGTGGGAGTACTGCAACCTGACGCAATGCTCAGACGCAGAAGGGACTGCCGTCGCGCCTCCGACTGTTACCCCGGTTCCAAGCCTAGAGGCTCCTTCCGAACAAGGTAAGGAGTCTGTGGCCAGACATCTACACGCTTCGATGCTGGGATGAAAAGCCATGGAAATTCCCACTGATGCAGCCGCCTTCAATGGTAAACGGATGCTCGAGTGTTGCCTGAGTTCTACCATGTAGGAGGAAGCCTCCGTGCACTCTCTGGGGGAGCCAGCGGAGTGATTTCTGGTGCAACGTGGTTGGGCTTTGTCTTTAGGATGGGCACAAACCCTCCAGGGGGATCGACTTCAAAATTCACCTTGTTGTAAAACGGGCTACCTCAGTGTCCCAGCCAAAATTTTTATTGTAACATGCTGTCAGGTGTGTCACTCTTTCCAAGCCAGTAAGCTTTTCCGGGGATTTCTTCAAGTAGCCAGCATTCAGAGCAATCTTCAGCATTGCAGATTCTGAGAAATGTGGCTCTGGAGCCTGTCACCCTCGAGAAACCTAAGAGGGCTGCATTGATTCCATGTGGCCCTGGGTCTATGGAGCAGTACATGAGCTCCCAGTGCTCTAAGGCTCTTCAGCCCTAGGCTTTGAAGGGAGTGATTTCTCAGTATTCTTAAACCTCTTTCTGATGACACTTGTACCTGTGAGGGGTCTAGAGAGAAAGAGTAGTAGACTCCTACTTTACTACAATTCAGGATGCAGGGCATGAGAGGATTCCCTCTCTCCTCCAAGGGAAGAAGCTTTTGGCGTGCACACATCCCTGAGAAGCAAAGTGTCTTTGTCTTCAGTCAGATACATAGGACCGTTTTCTGCCCCATGGCCCGGAAGCCAAAGGCCTTGGCTTTCATGATCAACGGTCTAGGGAAACATGCAAAATTTCCATGTCTGTCCCAAACTCTGCCCCCGACAGCCAATTACCACCTGCAGCCCGCATTGCCAAATGCGGTGCCGTTTGCATGAAGATTCAGTAGAGTTTCCTAGAAAGGTGCTACCTCGTGAGCTCACTTTCCAATGAGGAATCTGATCTGTTGTGTTTCTCTAAGGTGTCAGGTGAAATATTTCCAAGAACTTACTACAGTTCTAGAATGGGAGGAATCTGTTGCTTTGGTGTTTGTTTGTTGGTCGGTTTTCTCACATCCATCTGCCTATGGATAAGGAAAAGAGAACGGTCGTAATTCTCATAGACTCCTTTCTGGTTGTGTCACAAATGGCTTCACATGTTTCTCTATGCTCAGAGATACTCAGCTTGATTTCCCGTGTTTTCATTTCAGCACCGACTGAGCAAAGGCCTGGGGTGCAGGAGTGCTACCATGGTAATGGACAGAGTTATCGAGGCACATACTCCACCACTGTCACAGGAAGAACCTGCCAAGCTTGGTCATCTATGACACCACACTCGCATAGTCGGACCCCAGAATACTACCCAAATGCGTATGTCTTTGTTCTTTACCATAAGAGAAGAAAGGGCCAAGTGAAGTTTCTGTTACAAGAGATGTGTCTCAAGCTGAGTTCTCCGAACTCAACTTGTGACAGATGCAGATGGCGTAGCAAAATGTCTCAGGATGATTGCCTTGGAGCTAAGGGTCTGAGAGAAGGGAAATGTTAAGCTCCCTCTCCTTCCTCCTAGTTCTATTGAGCAGAAGGGAAATCTGGAGGTGAGGAGATCACATTATGAAGAAAGTCAGAATGACAAAGGACCAGACACTTAGATTACCCTTCCACAACACCAACTAAACGTCAATGGAGACTTTCCAGTTGGAATTCCGTTATTCTGGCTTCCACTTCCTGAAGGGAAGGTTGCGTTTGCCTTTTCTCTCTGGGTTCAAGAGGAAAGAATAGGTGCTTATTTATGGACAGGTGAATTGATCTGTTTCTATATCTACGTATATTCCGATTGTCAGAAAAACACTCGTTCCTAAGTACCAGTGGCCTGAAGGGATACAGGTTCCCAGCAAGAGAAGATCCAAGGAAGGAAGGCAGATGAGAGTCAGCACAGAGAGGGATGCTGAAAAGTAAAAGGGATGGGTGGATGGAGAGAAGCCCGGGTCTGACCACCCAATGGCCAATATTTTGGCCACAAGCGACTACCAGAGACATGGAAAAATGGTTTCTACATGTGGGACAACAGATGGTAGAGGACCTAGAGAATTGAGAGAGGGGCAATGATGGGCTCCACTCCGCAGATGCCTTGGCTTTCTTCCTGGATACCCTTCCTGCACTGAATAGCAAGGAGATGGAGCCCAAGCAGACTGTAGCCATCTTGCTGAATGGAGGAGAGGGATTGGAGTTTGGGATGACTGTGGTAGCTGAAATTTTTCTAGGTCTGCTAGAAATAAGAACTGGTTTGTGGAGGAAAAGAGCTCTACAAATACGCATAGAAGTCTCCTCCAGTCGTTGGCCTGACATGACGCTGCCTGTGCACAGGAAATGGTTCCACGAGAAAGTGTGGCAAAGAACATTTACTGAGAAACAGCAAGTACAAGAGCACAGGAAGCTCAATAAAGAAGAGAGAGATCACATAGCACTCTGGGATACTGGAGTTCTTCCCAGCTAGACCAGAGAGTCCTCACGGAGCACATTGCCAATTCAGTGGAGACCCCAGAACAGCCGTAATTTAAAGGTACACTTAGTATATTACTAGAATAAAGTCAGCTGCAGACAACCCCTTGCACAGCTGGAAAGCAAGTGTCCAAGCATCAAATCGGTTTCCAATCAATGAAGTGCCTGTGAGAGGAAATCTCAACTCTCTTTAGAAGTAAACAACAAAGTCGATTGCCTCAGCTATGCGGTATCCGCAGAGTGAGTCCTAAATTTAAAATCTGACTACATGTAGAAAAGCGTTTCGTGTGACCCATGACCAGGAAATAAATCGGGTAATACAAACAGGCTCAGGAATGAGAGAAATGATTAGAATTGCGTGAAAATTTGAAATATCAGTATGATAACTGATTTCAAATATTTAAAAAAACAACATGCAAGAAAGCAGATATCATATCAAGAGAAATTAACAGTACAGAATAGCCAAATTAAATTAAAGAGCTAGTATAAAAAAAGTATGTCTTAATTGAAAAAAATTACTGTATGGCCGGCTGATCAATTTAGACGTTTCAGAGGAAAACATTACCCAACACACAATTCTAGAGAACCTACAGAATGAGCTACACACACACACACACACACACACACAAACTGAAAACACACCCATACTCACACACACGCAGAAACTCACAAGTTCTAACACACACAGACACGCGCACCCCTGAAGAAACAGTGAAATATAAAATTAAGCGAGCCTCACAGACATGTAGGAAAATATGAAAAGATTTCCTGCATGTGGGAAGCAAGTCACAGTAAAGAGCAAGGGAGTTTGGAATAGAAACAAATACCAGAATCAAGGATGGCTGATAACTTTTCAATTACGAAGAACATTAAAAAAAATCACAGAATCGTGAAACTCAAGGGATCACATAGGGAATTTCGGAAAAAAAACCCAACCTGTATGATGTACTTTTGTACATCACAGTTCGAAGGTAACAAGGCAAAGATATAATAAGAAGAAACCTGTCACGAGAAACTGGAGGAAAAAGAGCTGTGTCTTCCTACAAGTACACTGATACAAATTGCCAATGTGTTCACCTCAGAAACACTGGAAGCCAGATACCAGGGAATATTGTTAAAATGATAATCAGGAACAAAAAGAGATCAACCGGGAATGCTGAATCCAGCAATAAAATGCCTTGAAGATCATCCATGTCGGATAAATGCATATTGTGCACTGCCCCAAAGAAAGAAACCGGAAACTGTAAGAATTGGAAATCAGCAGGCTTATGTAACAAGAGAGGTGACCCGAAGGAATTAGGTAGAAGAAGAATTGAACAAGAAAGGAACTTTCTGCAGCCCACGTAATGAAGAATCCAGCAATTGGCAAATGTAGATAGATGTAAATGCAAAATATTTTCTTGATCAAATTTCTATATCTTTGTAAATGAGAGTTGACTACTTGAAACAAAATGATAGCAAGATATTTAACTTCAGCATATGTAGAGGTAAGAATTTGAAATGGTAGCATAAATCACGAAGGGATTAATTCGAAGTGTACCGTTGTAAGTTTCTTTACCTCATGCACGATGGTGTGTCATATTAATAAAAGGGTACTGTGCGGGTTCGAAGGGATATTGCAAATCCTAGAGCAATCACAAAGGTTTGAACTCTGAGGTTTTTGGTATAATAAGAATAGTCCATGCATTCAAAAGAGGGAAGCCAAGGAAGAACTAGAAGTCTTTCAAGAGCTCAGGCTCTTATACATCCAGTTGCTCATTGAACCAGCTTCCTGGAATGGAGGGTCTGGGGTTGAGACTAGGCCACAAGTCTAGAGTCTCTAGAGAGACAGTGTTGGAACCCCATGGCCCATAATACATTTCCCATTTTCTCAGGCAGCCAGAGGTCATGAATGTGAGGATACTGGGAGGTTGGAGCAACGTTCTTGGGAGGCATAAGGAAGAGCGAATGCTTCAAGATCCCCGCAGCCCAAACTACTCGCCTGCTTTGCCCCCTAATGCATTTTTCTCTGCTGCTCCGTAGCTGTCCGACCTCTTCAGATCTCTTAGTCCACCCTGCCGTCTTCCTTTATGCCATGGGTCCCACTGTTCTTTCAACTCATCCCCCTTTCCCTCAGTCCCGGAGTAGCTGCGGCCAGCAGAGGGTAGACTGAGAGCAGGAGAGAAGGACCTGCCTAGGAACCCCTTCTAGAGATACTGCATCCTGCCTGGGAGCAAGTTTTCCAGGGCAGCTTTGAGAAGTCTTGGAGAAACAAACCTACTAAACCTGACAGACAGTAATACTATTTGCACAATGCTTTTCTGTGGGAAAGGTAGAGCCTTTTCACTACGTATTGAGTACATAGAGTGTGAGGGTTGACCTGGAACGGCTATCCTCCTGGATGACGTGTGTTTTCTGAAGAACTACATGTTCGTTGCAACTCCCACATTAGAATATGAAGTCCTACCGAGAGAGATACGGAGACTAGACAGATACAGATGCATTTGCATGTGAATACACAATCCCACAATACAGACGTCAAAACCCATACCAGTTATTCCAGAGAGATGGATTGGGCAGAAGGCAGAAGGAGAATACTCTGATCGTTTTTCGGCCACGTGTGTGTGTTATCTCAGTGTTTCTAAGAAGCGTTTGCTACTTTAGATTTTTTATTTAAAAAAAATAGTAATAATCTATTAAGTATGAGAGATGTGCAGAGAGGATTAGTGATCGAGAGCCATTTTTGCTGGTGGCAATCATATGGTACTTTTAATGGGAATATTAGAAAGGCACCGGTAATGACCTTGTTGCAGCACAAAGGAGAGAGTGTGGGGTGCCCCTGCATGTTGTCCCACCTCTTGTGACGTGTATCGTTTTGGAATTTCCAGTGGCTTGATCATGAACTACTGCAGGAATCCAGATGCTGTGGCAGCTCCTTATTGTTATACGAGGGATCCCGGTGTCAGGTGGGAGTACTGCAACCTGACGCAATGCTCAGACGCAGAAGGGACTGCCGTCGCGCCTCCGACTGTTACCCCGGTTCCAAGCCTAGAGGCTCCTTCCGAACAAGGTAAGGAGTCTGTGGCCAGACATCTACACGCTTCGATGCTGGGATGAAAAGCCATGGAAATTCCCACTGATGCAGCCGCCTTCAATGGTAAACGGATGCTCGAGTGTTGCCTGAGTTCTACCATGTAGGAGGAAGCCTCCGTGCACTCTCTGGGGGAGCCAGCGGAGTGATTTCTGGTGCAACGTGGTTGGGCTTTGTCTTTAGGATGGGCACAAACCCTCCAGGGGGATCGACTTCAAAATTCACCTTGTTGTAAAACGGGCTACCTCAGTGTCCCAGCCAAAATTTTTATTGTAACATGCTGTCAGGTGTGTCACTCTTTCCAAGCCAGTAAGCTTTTCCGGGGATTTCTTCAAGTAGCCAGCATTCAGAGCAATCTTCAGCATTGCAGATTCTGAGAAATGTGGCTCTGGAGCCTGTCACCCTCGAGAAACCTAAGAGGGCTGCATTGATTCCATGTGGCCCTGGGTCTATGGAGCAGTACATGAGCTCCCAGTGCTCTAAGGCTCTTCAGCCCTAGGCTTTGAAGGGAGTGATTTCTCAGTATTCTTAAACCTCTTTCTGATGACACTTGTACCTGTGAGGGGTCTAGAGAGAAAGAGTAGTAGACTCCTACTTTACTACAATTCAGGATGCAGGGCATGAGAGGATTCCCTCTCTCCTCCAAGGGAAGAAGCTTTTGGCGTGCACACATCCCTGAGAAGCAAAGTGTCTTTGTCTTCAGTCAGATACATAGGACCGTTTTCTGCCCCATGGCCCGGAAGCCAAAGGCCTTGGCTTTCATGATCAACGGTCTAGGGAAACATGCAAAATTTCCATGTCTGTCCCAAACTCTTCCCCCGACAGCCAATTACCACCTGCAGCCCGCATTGCCAAATGCGGTGCCGTTTGCATGAAGATTCAGTAGAGTTTCCTAGAAAGGTGCTACCTCGTGAGCTCACTTTCCAATGAGGAATCTGATCTGTTGTGTTTCTCTAAGGTGTCAGGTGAAATATTTCCAAGAACTTACTACAGTTCTAGAATGGGAGGAATCTGTTGCTTTGGTGTTTGTTTGTTGGTCGGTTTTCTCACATCCATCTGCCTATGGATAAGGAAAAGAGAACGGTCGTAATTCTCATAGACTCCTTTCTGGTTGTGTCACAAATGGCTTCACATGTTTCTCTATGCTCAGAGATACTCAGCTTGATTTCCCGTGTTTTCATTTCAGCACCGACTGAGCAAAGGCCTGGGGTGCAGGAGTGCTACCATGGTAATGGACAGAGTTATCGAGGCACATACTCCACCACTGTCACAGGAAGAACCTGCCAAGCTTGGTCATCTATGACACCACACTCGCATAGTCGGACCCCAGAATACTACCCAAATGCGTATGTCTTTGTTCTTTACCATAAGAGAAGAAAGGGCCAAGTGAAGTTTCTGTTACAAGAGATGTGTCTCAAGCTGAGTTCTCCGAACTCAACTTGTGACAGATGCAGATGGCGTAGCAAAATGTCTCAGGATGATTGCCTTGGAGCTAAGGGTCTGAGAGAAGGGAAATGTTAAGCTCCCTCTCCTTCCTCCTAGTTCTATTGAGCAGAAGGGAAATCTGGAGGTGAGAAGATCACATTATGAAGAAAGTCAGAATGACAAAGGACCAGACACTTAGATTACCCTTCCACAACACCAACTAAACGTCAATGGAGACTTTCCAGTTGGAATTCCGTTATTCTGGCTTCCACTTCCTGAAGGGAAGGTTGCGTTTGCCTTTTCTCTCTGGGTTCAAGAGGAAAGAATAGGTGCTTATTTATGGACAGGTGAATTGATCTGTTTCTATATCTACGTATATTCCGATTGTCAGAAAAACACTCGTTCCTAAGTACCAGTGGCCTGAAGGGATACAGGTTCCCAGCAAGAGAAGATCCAAGGAAGGAAGGCAGATGAGAGTCAGCACAGAGAGGGATGCTGAAAAGTAAAAGGGATGGGTGGATGGAGAGAAGCCCGGGTCTGACCACCCAATGGCCAATATTTTGGCCACAAGCGACTACCAGAGACATGGAAAAATGGTTTCTACATGTGGGACAACAGATGGTAGAGGACCTAGAGAATTGAGAGAGGGGCAATGATGGGCTCCACTCCGCAGATGCCTTGGCTTTCTTCCTGGATACCCTTCCTGCACTGAATAGCAAGGAGATGGAGCCCAAGCAGACTGTAGCCATCTTGCTGAATGGAGGAGAGGGATTGGAGTTTGGGATGACTGTGGTAGCTGAAATTTTTCTAGGTCTGCTAGAAATAAGAACTGGTTTGTGTGGAGGAAAAGAGCTCTACAAATACGCATAGAAGTCTCCTCCAGTCGTTGGCCTGACATGACGCTGCCTGTGCACAGGAAATGGTTCCACGAGAAAGTGTGGCAAAGAACATTTACTGAGAAACAGCAAGTACAAGAGCACAGGAAGCTCAATAAAGAAGAGAGAGATCACATAGCACTCTGGGATACTGGAGTTCTTCCCAGCTAGACCAGAGAGTCCTCACGGAGCACATTGCCAATTCAGTGGAGACCCCAGAACAGCCGTAATTTAAAGGTACACTTAGTATATTACTAGAATAAAGTCAGCTGCAGACAACCCCTTGCACAGCTGGAAAGCAAGTGTCCAAGCATCAAATCGGTTTCCAATCAATGAAGTGCCTGTGAGAGGAAATCTCAACTCTCTTTAGAAGTAAACAACAAAGTCGATTGCCTCAGCTATGCGGTATCCGCAGAGTGAGTCCTAAATTTAAAATCTGACTACATGTAGAAAAGCGTTTCGTGTGACCCATGACCAGGAAATAAATCGGGTAATACAAACAGGCTCAGGAATGAGAGAAATGATTAGAATTGCGTGAAAATTTGACATATCAGTATGATAACTGATTTCAAATATTTAAAAAAACAACATGCAAGAAAGCAGATATCATATCAAGAGAAATTAACAGTACAGAATAGCCAAATTAAATTAAAGAGGTAGTATAAAAAAAGTATGTCTTAATTGAAAAAAATTACTGTATGGCCGGCTGATCAATTTAGACGTTTCAGAGGAAAACATTACCCAACACACAATTCTAGAGAACCTACAGAATGAGCTACACACACACACACACACACACACACAAACTGAAAACACACCCATACTCACACACACGCAGAAACTCACAAGTTCTAACACACACAGACACGCGCACCCCTGAAGAAACAGTGAAATATAAAATTAAGCGAGCCTCACAGACATGTAGGAAAATATGAAAAGATTTCCTGCATGTGGGAAGCAAGTCACAGTAAAGAGCAAGGGAGTTTGGAATAGAAACAAATACCGGAATCAAGGATGGCTGATAACTTTTCAATTACGAAGAACATTAAAAAAAATCACAGAATCGTGAAACTCAAGGGATCACATAGGGAATTTCGGAAAAAAAACCCAACCTGTATGATGTACTTTTGTACATCACAGTTCGAAGGTAACAAGGCAAAGATATAATAAGAAGAAACCTGTCACGAGAAACTGGAGGAAAAAGAGCTGTGTCTTCCTACAAGTACACTGATACAAATTGCCAATGTGTTCACCTCAGAAACACTGGAAGCCAGATACCAGGGAATATTGTTAAAATGATAATCAGGAACAAAAAGAGATCAACCGGGAATGCTGAATCCAGCAATAAAATGCCTTGAAGGTCATCCATGTCGGATAAATGCATATTGTGCACTGCCCCAAAGAAAGAAACCGGAAACTGTAAGAATTGGAAATCAGCAGGCTTATGTAACAAGAGAGGTGACCCGAAGGAATTAGGTAGAAGAAGAATTGAACAAGAAAGGAACTTTCTGCAGCCCACGTAATGAAGAATCCAGCAATTGGCAAATGTAGATAGATGTAAATGCAAAATATTTTCTTGATCAAATTTCTATATCTTTGTAAATGAGAGTTGACTACTTGAAACAAAATGATAGCAAGATATTTAACTTCAGCATATGTAGAGGTAAGAATTTGAAATGGTAGCATAAATCACGAAGGGATTAATTCGAAGTGTACCGTTGTAAGTTTCTTTACCTCATGCACGATGGTGTGTCATATTAATAAAAGGGTACTGTGCGGGTTCGAAGGGATATTGCAAATCCTAGAGCAATCACAAAGGTTTGAACTCTGAGGTTTTTGGTATAATAAGAATAGTCCATGCATTCAAAAGAGGGAAGCCAAGGAAGAACTAGAAGTCTTTCAAGAGCTCAGGCTCTTATACATCCAGTTGCTCATTGAACCAGCTTCCTGGAATGGAGGGTCTGGGGTTGAGACTAGGCCACAAGTCTAGAGTCTCTAGAGAGACAGTGTTGGAACCCCATGGCCCATAATACATTTCCCATTTTCTCAGGCAGCCAGAGGTCATGAATGTGAGGATACTGGGAGGTTGGAGCAACGTTCTTGGGAGGCATAAGGAAGAGCGAATGCTTCAAGATCCCCGCAGCCCAAACTACTCGCCTGCTTTGCCCCCTAATGCATTTTTCTCTGCTGCTCCGTAGCTGTCCGACCTCTTCAGATCTCTTAGTCCACCCTGCCGTCTTCCTTTATGCCATGGGTCCCACTGTTCTTTCAACTCATCCCCCTTTCCCTCAGTCCCGGAGTAGCTGCGGCCAGCAGAGGGTAGACTGAGAGCAGGAGAGAAGGACCTGCCTAGGAACCCCTTCTAGAGATACTGCATCCTGCCTGGGAGCAAGTTTTCCAGGGCAGCTTTGAGAAGTCTTGGAGAAACAAACCTACTAAACCTGACAGACAGTAATACTATTTGCACAATGCTTTTCTGTGGGAAAGGTAGAGCCTTTTCACTACGTATTGAGTACATAGAGTGTGAGGGTTGACCTGGAACGGCTATCCTCCTGGATGACGTGCGTTTTCTGAAGAACTACATGTTCGTTGCAACTCCCACATTAGAATATGAAGTCCTACCGAGAGAGATACGGAGACTAGACAGATACAGATGCATTTGCATGTGAATACACAATCCCACAATACAGACGTCAAAACCCATACCAGTTATTCCAGAGAGATGGATTGGGCAGAAGGCAGAAGGAGAATACTCTGATCGTTTTTCGGCCACGTGTGTGTGTTATCTCAGTGTTTCTAAGAAGCGTTTGCTACTTTAGATTTTTTATTTAAAAAAAATAGTAATAATCTATTAAGTATGAGAGATGTGCAGAGAGGATTAGTGATCGAGAGCCATTTTTGCTGGTGGCAATCATATGGTACTTTTAATGGGAATATTAGAAAGGCACCGGTAATGACCTTGTTGCAGCACAAAGGAGAGAGTGTGGGGTGCCCCTGCATGTTGTCCCACCTCTTGTGACGTGTATCGTTTTGGAATTTCCAGTGGCTTGATCATGAACTACTGCAGGAATCCAGATGCTGTGGCAGCTCCTTATTGTTATACGAGGGATCCCGGTGTCAGGTGGGAGTACTGCAACCTGACGCAATGCTCAGACGCAGAAGGGACTGCCGTCGCGCCTCCGACTGTTACCCCGGTTCCAAGCCTAGAGGCTCCTTCCGAACAAGGTAAGGAGTCTGTGGCCAGACATCTACACGCTTCGATGCTGGGATGAAAAGCCATGGAAATTCCCACTGATGCAGCCGCCTTCAATGGTAAACGGATGCTCGAGTGTTGCCTGAGTTCTACCATGTAGGAGGAAGCCTCCGTGCACTCTCTGGGGGAGCCAGCGGAGTGATTTCTGGTGCAACGTGGTTGGGCTTTGTCTTTAGGATGGGCACAAACCCTCCAGGGGGATCGACTTCAAAATTCACCTTGTTGTAAAACGGGCTACCTCAGTGTCCCAGCCAAAATTTTTATTGTAACATGCTGTCAGGTGTGTCACTCTTTCCAAGCCAGTAAGCTTTTCCGGGGATTTCTTCAAGTAGCCAGCATTCAGAGCAATCTTCAGCATTGCAGATTCTGAGAAATGTGGCTCTGGAGCCTGTCACCCTCGAGAAACCTAAGAGGGCTGCATTGATTCCATGTGGCCCTGGGTCTATGGAGCAGTACATGAGCTCCCAGTGCTCTAAGGCTCTTCAGCCCTAGGCTTTGAAGGGAGTGATTTCTCAGTATTCTTAAACCTCTTTCTGATGACACTTGTACCTGTGAGGGGTCTAGAGAGAAAGAGTAGTAGACTCCTACTTTACTACAATTCAGGATGCAGGGCATGAGAGGATTCCCTCTCTCCTCCAAGGGAAGAAGCTTTTGGCGTGCACACATCCCTGAGAAGCAAAGTGTCTTTGTCTTCAGTCAGATACATAGGACCGTTTTCTGCCCCATGGCCCGGAAGCCAAAGGCCTTGGCTTTCATGATCAACGGTCTAGGGAAACATGCAAAATTTCCATGTCTGTCCCAAACTCTGCCCCCGACAGCCAATTACCACCTGCAGCCCGCATTGCCAAATGCGGTGCCGTTTGCATGAAGATTCAGTAGAGTTTCCTAGAAAGGTGCTACCTCGTGAGCTCACTTTCCAATGAGGAATCTGATCTGTTGTGTTTCTCTAAGGTGTCAGGTGAAATATTTCCAAGAACTTACTACAGTTCTAGAATGGGAGGAATCTGTTGCTTTGGTGTTTGTTTGTTGGTCGGTTTTCTCACATCCATCTGCCTATGGATAAGGAAAAGAGAACGGTCGTAATTCTCATAGACTCCTTTCTGGTTGTGTCACAAATGGCTTCACATGTTTCTCTATGCTCAGAGATACTCAGCTTGATTTCCCGTGTTTTCATTTCAGCACCGACTGAGCAAAGGCCTGGGGTGCAGGAGTGCTACCATGGTAATGGACAGAGTTATCGAGGCACATACTCCACCACTGTCACAGGAAGAACCTGCCAAGCTTGGTCATCTATGACACCACACTCGCATAGTCGGACCCCAGAATACTACCCAAATGCGTATGTCTTTGTTCTTTACCATAAGAGAAGAAAGGGCCAAGTGAAGTTTCTGTTACAAGAGATGTGTCTCAAGCTGAGTTCTCCGAACTCAACTTGTGACAGATGCAGATGGCGTAGCAAAATGTCTCAGGATGATTGCCTTGGAGCTAAGGGTCTGAGAGAAGGGAAATGTTAAGCTCCCTCTCCTTCCTCCTAGTTCTATTGAGCAGAAGGGAAATCTGGAGGTGAGGAGATCACATTATGAAGAAAGTCAGAATGACAAAGGACCAGACACTTAGATTACCCTTCCACAACACCAACTAAACGTCAATGGAGACTTTCCAGTTGGAATTCCGTTATTCTGGCTTCCACTTCCTGAAGGGAAGGTTGCGTTTGCCTTTTCTCTCTGGGTTCAAGAGGAAAGAATAGGTGCTTATTTATGGACAGGTGAATTGATCTGTTTCTATATCTACGTATATTCCGATTGTCAGAAAAACACTCGTTCCTAAGTACCAGTGGCCTGAAGGGATACAGGTTCCCAGCAAGAGAAGATCCAAGGAAGGAAGGCAGATGAGAGTCAGCACAGAGAGGGATGCTGAAAAGTAAAAGGGATGGGTGGATGGAGAGAAGCCCGGGTCTGACCACCCAATGGCCAATATTTTGGCCACAAGCGACTACCAGAGACATGGAAAAATGGTTTCTACATGTGGGACAACAGATGGTAGAGGACCTAGAGAATTGAGAGAGGGGCAATGATGGGCTCCACTCCGCAGATGCCTTGGCTTTCTTCCTGGATACCCTTCCTGCACTGAATAGCAAGGAGATGGAGCCCAAGCAGACTGTAGCCATCTTGCTGAATGGAGGAGAGGGATTGGAGTTTGGGATGACTGTGGTAGCTGAAATTTTTCTAGGTCTGCTAGAAATAAGAACTGGTTTGTGTGGAGGAAAAGAGCTCTACAAATACGCATAGAAGTCTCCTCCAGTCGTTGGCCTGACATGACGCTGCCTGTGCACAGGAAATGGTTCCACGAGAAAGTGTGGCAAAGAACATTTACTGAGAAACAGCAAGTACAAGAGCACAGGAAGCTCAATAAAGAAGAGAGAGATCACATAGCACTCTGGGATACTGGAGTTCTTCCCAGCTAGACCAGAGAGTCCTCACGGAGCACATTGCCAATTCAGTGGAGACCCCAGAACAGCCGTAATTTAAAGGTACACTTAGAATATTACTAGAATAAAGTCAGCTGCAGACAACCCCTTGCACAGCTGGAAAGCAAGTGTCCAAGCATCAAATCGGTTTCCAATCAATGAAGTGCCTGTGAGAGGAAATCTCAACTCTCTTTAGAAGTAAACAACAAAGTCGATTGCCTCAGCTATGCGGTATCCGCAGAGTGAGTCCTAAATTTAAAATCTGACTACATGTAGAAAAGCGTTTCGTGTGACCCATGACCAGGAAATAAATCGGGTAATACAAACAGGCTCAGGAATGAGAGAAATGATTAGAATTGCGTGAAAATTTGACATATCAGTATGATAACTGATTTCAAATATTTAAAAAAACAACATGCAAGAAAGCAGATATCATATCAAGAGAAATTAACAGTACAGAATAGCCAAATTAAATTAAAGAGCTAGTATAAAAAAAGTATGTCTTAATTGAAAAAAATTACTGTATGGCCGGCTGATCAAATTAGACGTTTCAGAGGAAAACATTACCCAACACACAATTTTAGAGAACCTACAGAATGAGCTACACACACACACACACACACACACACACACACAAACTGAAAACACACCCATACTCACACACACGCAGAAACTCACAAGTTCTAACACACACAGACACGCGCACCCCTGAAGAAACAGTGAAATATAAAATTAAGCGAGCCTCACAGACATGTAGGAAAATATGAAAAGATTTCCTGCATGTGGGAAGCAAGTCACAGTAAAGAGCAAGGGAGTTTATAATAGAAACAAATACCAGAATCAAGGATGGCTGATAACTTTTCAATTACGAAGAACATTAAAAAAAATCACAGAATCGTGAAACTCAAGGGATCATATAGGGAATTTCGGAAAAAAAACCCAACCTGTATGATGTACTTTTGTACATCACAGTTCGAAGGTAACAAGGCAAAGATGTAATAAGAAGAAACCTGTCACGAGAAACTGGAGGAAAAAGAGCTGTGTCTTCCTACAAGTACACTGATACAAATTGCCAATGTGTTCACCTCAGAAACACTGGAAGCCAGATACCAGGGAATATTGTTAAAATGATAATCAGGAACAAAAAGAGATCAACCGGGAATGCTGAATCCAGCAATAAAATGCCTTGAAGGTCATCCATGTCGGATAAATGCATATTGTGCACTGCCCCAAAGAAAGAAACCGGAAACTGTAAGAATTGGAAATCAGCAGGCTTATGTAACAAGAGAGGTGACCCGAAGGAATTAGGTAGAAGAAGAATTGAACAAGAAAGGAACTTTCTGCAGCCCACGTAATGAAGAATCCAGCAATTGGCAAATGTAGATAGATGTAAATGCAAAATATTTTCTTGATCAAATTTCTATATCTTTGTAAATGAGAGTTGACTACTTGAAACAAAATGATAGCAAGATATTTAACTTCAGCATATGTAGAGGTAAGAATTTGAAATGGTAGCATAAATCACGAAGGGATTAATTCGAAGTGTACCGTTGTAAGTTTCTTTACCTCATGCACGATGGTGTGTCATATTAATAAAAGGGTACTGTGCGGGTTCGAAGGGATATTGCAAATCCTAGAGCAATCACAAAGGTTTGAACTCTGAGGTTTTTGGTATAATAAGAATAGTCCATGCATTCAAAAGAGGGAAGCCAAGGAAGAACTAGAAGTCTTTCAAGAGCTCAGGCTCTTATACATCCAGTTGCTCATTGAACCAGCTTCCTGGAATGGAGGGTCTGGGGTTGAGACTAGGCCACAAGTCTAGAGTCTCTAGAGAGACAGTGTTGGAACCCCATGGCCCATAATACATTTCCCATTTTCTCAGGCAGCCAGAGGTCATGAATGTGAGGATACTGGGAGGTTGGAGCAACGTTCTTGGGAGGCATAAGGAAGAGCGAATGCTTCAAGATCCCCGCAGCCCAAACTACTCGCCTGCTTTGCCCCCTAATGCATTTTTCTCTGCTGCTCCGTAGCTGTCCGACCTCTTCAGATCTCTTAGTCCACCCTGCCGTCTTCCTTTATGCCATGGGTCCCACTGTTCTTTCAACTCATCCCCCTTTCCCTCAGTCCCGGAGTAGCTGCGGCCAGCAGAGGGTAGACTGAGAGCAGGAGAGAAGGACCTGCCTAGGAACCCCTTCTAGAGATACTGCATCCTGCCTGGGAGCAAGTTTTCCAGGGCAGCTTTGAGAAGTCTTGGAGAAACAAACCTACTAAACCTGACAGACAGTAATACTATTTGCACAATGCTTTTCTGTGGGAAAGGTAGAGCCTTTTCACTACGTATTGAGTACATAGAGTGTGAGGGTTGACCTGGAACGGCTATCCTCCTGGATGACGTGCGTTTTCTGAAGAACTACATGTTCGTTGCAACTCCCACATTAGAATATGAAGTCCTACCGAGAGAGATACGGAGACTAGACAGATACAGATGCATTTGCATGTGAATACACAATCCCACAATACAGACGTCAAAACCCATACCAGTTATTCCAGAGAGATGGATTGGGCAGAAGGCAGAAGGAGAATACTCTGATCGTTTTTCGGCCACGTGTGTGTGTTATCTCAGTGTTTCTAAGAAGCGTTTGCTACTTTAGATTTTTTATTTAAAAAAAATAGTAATAATCTATTAAGTATGAGAGATGTGCAGAGACGATTAGTGATCGAGAGCCATTTTTGCTGGTGGCAATCATATGGTACTTTTAATGGGAATATTAGAAAGGCACCGGTAATGACCTTGTTGCAGCACAAAGGAGAGAGTGTGGGGTGCCCCTGCATGTTGTCCCACCTCTTGTGACGTGTATCGTTTTGGAATTTCCAGTGGCTTGATCATGAACTACTGCAGGAATCCAGATGCTGTGGCAGCTCCTTATTGTTATACGAGGGATCCCGGTGTCAGGTGGGAGTACTGCAACCTGACGCAATGCTCAGACGCAGAAGGGACTGCCGTCGCGCCTCCGACTGTTACCCCGGTTCCAAGCCTAGAGGCTCCTTCCGAACAAGGTAAGGAGTCTGTGGCCAGACATCTACACGCTTCGATGCTGGGATGAAAAGCCATGGAAATTCCCACTGATGCAGCCGCCTTCAATGGTAAACGGATGCTCGAGTGTTGCCTGAGTTCTACCATGTAGGAGGAAGCCTCCGTGCACTCTCTGGGGGAGCCAGCGGAGTGATTTCTGGTGCAACGTGGTTGGGCTTTGTCTTTAGGATGGGCACAAACCCTCCAGGGGGATCGACTTCAAAATTCACCTTGTTGTAAAACGGGCTACCTCAGTGTCCCAGCCAAAATTTTTATTGTAACATGCTGTCAGGTGTGTCACTCTTTCCAAGCCAGTAAGCTTTTCCGGGGATTTCTTCAAGTAGCCAGCATTCAGAGCAATCTTCAGCATTGCAGATTCTGAGAAATGTGGCTCTGGAGCCTGTCATCCTCGAGAAACCTAACAGGGCTGCATTAATTCCATATGGTCCTGGGTCTATGGAGCAGTATATGAGCTCCCAATGCTCTAAGGCTCTTCAGTCCTAGGCTTTGAAGGGAGTGATTTCTCAGTGTTCTTAAACCTCTTTCTGATGGCACTTGTACCTGTGAGGGGTCTAGAGAGAAAGGTTAGTAGACTTCTCCTTTACTGCAATTCAGGATGCAGGGCATGAGAAGATTCCCTCCCTCCTCCAAGGGAAGAAGGTTTTGGCGTGCACACATCCTTGAGAAGCAAAGTGTCTTTGCCTTCAGTCAGATATATAGGATCGTTTTCTGCCCCATGGCCTGGAAGCCAGAGGCCTTGGCTTTCATGATCAACGATCTAGGGAAACATGCAAAATTTCCATGTCTTTCCCCTCCTCTGCCCTCGACAGCCAATTACCACCTGCATCCTGCATTGCCAAATGCAGTGCCCTTTGTATGAACATTCAGTAGAGTTTCATAGAAAGGTGCTACTTCGTGAGCGCACTTTGCAGTGAGAAGGAGTCTGTTCTGTTCTGTTTTTCTAAGGATTTCAGGTGAAATATTTCCTAGAACTTACTACAGTTCTAGATTGGTAGGAATCTGTAGGTTTGCTGTATGTTTTTTGGTTGGTTTTCTCCCATCCATCTGCCTACAGGTAAGGGAAAGATAACGTTCATAATTCTCATAGACTCCTTTCTGGTTGTGTCATAAATGGCTTCACATATTTCGTTATTCTCAGAGATACTCAGTTTATTTCTTGTGTTTTCATTTCAGCACCGACTGAGCAGAGGCCTGGGGTGCAGGAGTGCTACCACGGTAATGGACAGAGTTATCGAGGCACATACTCCACCACTGTCACTGGAAGAACCTGCCAAGCTTGGTCATCTATGACACCACACTCGCATAGTCGGACCCCAGAATACTACCCAAATGCGTATGTCTTTGTTCTTTACCATAAGAGAATAAAGGGCCAACTGAAGTTTCTGTGACAAGAGACATGCTTCAAGCTGAGTTCTCCGAACTCAACTTGTGTCAGATTCAGATGGTGTAGCAAAATGTCTCAGGATGATTTCCTTGGAGCTAAGGGTCTGAGAGAAGAGAAATGTTAAGCTGCCTCACCTTCCTCCTAGTTTTGTGGAGCAGAAGGGAAATGAGGAGGCGAGGAGATCACCTTATGAAGAAAGTCAGAATGACGAACCACCAAACACTTAGATTACCCTTGCCCAACACCCACTAAGCGTCAATGAAGACTTTCCAGTTGGAATTCCGTTATTCTGACTTCCAATTCCTGAAGGGAAGATTGTGTTTGCCTTTTCTGTCTGGGCTCATGAGGAAAGTTTATGTGCTTACTTATGGACAGGTGAATTGATCTGTTTCTATTTCTACCTGTATTCCAATAGGGAGAAAATCTCTTGGTCCTAAGTACCAGTGGCCTGAAAGGATAGAGGTTCCCAGCAAGAGAAGATCCAAGGAAGGAAGGCAGATGAGAGTCAGCACAGAGAGGGATGCTGAAAAGTAAAAGGGATGGGTAGATGGATAGAAGCCCTGGTCTGACCACCCCATGGCCAATCATTTGGCCATAATCAACAACCAAAGACATGGAAAAATGGTTTCTACATGTGGGACAACAGATGGTAGAGGACCTAGAGAATTGAGAGAGGGCCAATGATGAGCTCAACTCCATAGATGCCTTGGCTTTCTTCCTGGATACCCTTCCTGCACTGAATAGCAAGGAGATGGAGCTCAAGCAGCCTGTAGCCATCTAGCTGAGCAGAGGAGAGGGATTGGAGTTTGGGATGACTCTGGTATTTTCTAGGTCCGCTACAAATAAGAACTGGTTTGTGGAGGAAAGGAGCTCTACAAATACGCATAGAAGTCTCCTCCAGTAGTTGGCCTCACATGACACTGCATGTGCACAGAAAATGGTTCTACAGAAAGTGTGGCAAAGAACATTTACTGAGAAACAGCAACTACAAGAGAACAGCAAGCTCAATTAAGAAGATAGAGATCACATAGCACTCTGTGTTATTGGAGTTCTTACCAGCTAGATGAGAGAGTGCTCACGGAACACATTGCCAATTCAGTGGAGACCCCAGAACAGCCATAATTTCAAAGTACAATTAGTATATTACTAGAATAAAGGCAGCTGCAGACAACCCCTTGCACAGCTGAAAAGCAAGTGTCCAAGCATCAAATGGGTTTCCAATCAATGAAGTGCCTGTGAGAGGAAATCTCAACTCTCTTCAGAAGTAAACAACAAAGTCAATTGCCTCAGCTATGCGGTATCCCCAGAGTGAGTCCTAAATTAAAAATTTGACTACGTGTAGAAAAGAATTTCGTGTGATCCATGACCAGAAAATAAATCAGGCAATACAAACAGGCTCAGAAATGACATCGATAATTAGAATTGCATGAAAATTTGACATATCAGTATGATAACTGATTTCAGATATTTAAAAAAAGTGCAACAAAGCAGGTATCATATCAAGACAAATTAATAGTATAGAATAGCCAAATCAAATTAAAGAACTATTATACAAAAAGTATGTCTTAAATGAAGAAATTACTGTATGTCCGCCTGAAAAATTTAGATGTTTCAGAAGAAAAAATTAACCAAAAACAATTCTGCAGAACCTACAGAATGAGCCACACACACACACATTCAAAACACACCCATACACACACACATGCAAAAACTCACAAGTTCTAACACACACACAAACACACACACACATGCACATCCCTAAAGAAATAGGGAAATATAAAATTAACCGACCCTCAGAGACATGCAGGAAAATATAAGAAGATTTCCTGCATGTGGGAAGCAAGTCACAGTAAAGAGCAAGGGAGTTTGGAGTAGATACAAATACCGGAATCACGGATGGCTGATAACTTTTCAATTATGAAGAACGTTAGAAAAATCACAGATTCATGAAACTAAAGGGATCAAATAGGAAATTTCGAGAAAAAAAACTACATGATGCACTTCTCTACATCACAGTTCAAAGGTAACAAGGCAAGGATATAAGAAGAAGAAACATCTCACGAGAAACTGGAGAAAAAAGAGCTGTGTCTTCCTAGAGTACAGTGATACAAATTGCTAATGCGTTCACCTCAGAAACACTGGAAGCCAGATACCAGGGAATATTATTAAAATGATAATGAGGAACAAGAAGAGATCAACCGAGAATGCTGAATCCAGCAATAAAATGCCTTGAAGATCATCCATGTTGGATAAATGCATATTGTGCACTGCCCAAAACAAAGAAACTGGAAAGTGTAAGACTTTGGAATCAGCAGGCTTATGTAGCAACAGAGGTGACCCGAAAGAATTAGGTATAAGAAGAATAGAAGAATTGCATGAAAATTTGACATATGACTAAGATAACTATTTCAAATATTTAAAAAAAGATGAATATGTAATAAAACAGATAAAATATCAAAAGAAAGTAACAGTATTGACTAGCCAAATCAAATTAAAGACTTAGTGTAAAAAGCTATGTCTTAAAAGAAAAAATTACTGGATGGCTGCCTGATCAATTTAGACATTTCTGAATAGGAAACTAACCAAAAATCAATTCTACAGAACCAACTACACACATATATACACATACAACACACCCATACACACCCACGCAAAAACTCACAAGTTCACACACACACACACACACACACAACCCTCAAGAAATAGTGAAATAGAAAACCAACCGAACCTCACAGACATGTTGCAAAATAGGAAAAGATTTCCTGCATATGGGAAGCAAGTCACAGAAAAGAGAACGGGAGATTGGAAACAGAAACAAATACCGGAATCAAGGATGGCCGAAAACTTTTCATTGATCAAGAATATTAACAAAATCGCAAAAACACGAAATTCAATGCATCAAATAGGCGTTTCGAAAAAAAGAAAAAATCTGGTATGATGCACTTTTGTACTTCACATTTTCACGGTAAGAAGACAAAGATATAATAACAAGAAACTTCTTATGAGAAACTGGGGAAAAACAAGCTGTTTCTTGCTAGAAGAACAGTGATACAAATTGCTAATGCATTCTCGTCAAAAACACTGGAAGCCAGATACCGGGAATGTTATTAATGTGGTAAACAGGAACAAGAAGAGATCAACCAAGAATGCTAAATCCAGCAATAAAATGCCTTGAAGATCATCCATGCTGCATAAATGTATGTTGTGCACTGCCCCAAACAAAGAAACCGGAAACTGTAAGAATTTGGAATCAGCAGGCTGATGTAACAAGAGAGGTGACCCAAAGGAATTAGGTAGAAGAAGAATAGTACAAGAAGGGAACTTTCTGCAGCCCATGTAATGAAGAACCCAGCAATTGGCAAATGTAGATGTAAATGCAAAATATTTTCTTGACCAAATTTCTATATATTTTTAAATGAGCGTTGACTACTGGAAACAAAATGATAGCAATATATTTAATTTTAGCATATGTAGAGGTAAGAATTTGAACAAGTAGCGTAAATCATGTAGGGAATAATTAGAAGTGTACCATTGTAAGTTTCTTACCTCATGCACAATGGTATGTAATATTAATAAAATGTTACTGTGTGGGTTCAAGGAGATATTGCAAATCCTAGAGCAATCACAAAGTTTTGAACTCTGAGGTATATTGTATAATAAGAATATTCCATGTATTCAAAAGAGAGAAGCCAAGGAAGAAAGAAATTTGTCACGAGTTTGGGCTCTTAGTACATCCTGTAGCTCATTGAACCAGCTTCCTGGAATGGAGGGTCTGGGATTGACACTAGGCCACATGTATAGAGTCTCTAGAGAGACAGTGTTTCATCCCCATGGCCCGTAATACATTTCCCATTTTCTCAGGCAGCCACAGGTCATGAATGTGAGGATAGAGAGAGGTTGGAGCAACGTTCTTGGGAGGCATAAGGAAGAGCAAATGCTTCAAGATCCCCGCAGCCCAAACTCCTACCTGCTTTGCCCCCTAATGCAGTGTTCCTCCGTAGCTGTCCGACCTCTTCAGATCTCTTAGTCTACCCTGCCATCTTCCTTTATGCCATGGGTCCCACTGTTCTTTCAACTCATCCCCCTTTCCCTCAGTGCAGAGTAGCTGCGGCCAGCAGAGGGTAGACTGAGAGCAGGAGAGAAGGTCCTGCCCAGGAACCCATTCTAGAGATGCTGCATTCTGCCTGGGAGCAAGTTTTCCAGGGCAGCTTTGAGAAGTCTTGCAGAAACAAACCTATTTGACCCACATGATATGGGAATGACAGAAAGTAATACAATTTGCACAGTGCTTTTCCATGGGAAAAGTAGAGCCTTTTCGCGAGGTTTTGAGTACATAGAGAGTGAAGGTTGACCTGGAAAGGTTATCCTCCTGGATCCCATGTTTTTTCTGAAGAACTACCTGTTAGTTGCAACTTGCACATTAGAATATGAAGTCCTACCGAGAGAGATACGGAGAACTAGATAAATACAGATACTTTTGTATGTGAATAAACGATTCCACAATACACACATCAAAATCCATACCAGTTATTCCAGAGAGATGGATTGGGCAGAAGGCAGAAGGAGAATACTCTGATCGTTTTTTGCCCACGTGTATGTATTATCTCAGTGTTTCTAAGAAGCGTTTGCTACTTTAGATTTTTTTTTATAATAATAATCTTTTAAGTATGAGAAATGTGCAGACAGGATTAGTGATTGAGAGCCATTTGTGCTTGTGGCAATCATATGGTACTTTTATGGGAATATTAGAAAGGCACTGGTAATGACCTTGTTGCAGCACAAAGGAGAGGGTGTGGGGTGCCCCTGCATATTGTCCCACCTCTTGTGACGTGTATCGTTTTGGAATTTCCAGTGGCTTGATCATGAACTACTGCAGGAATCCAGATCCTGTGGCAGCCCCTTATTGTTATACGAGGGATCCCAGTGTCAGGTGGGAGTACTGCAACCTGACACAATGCTCAGACGCAGAAGGGACTGCCGTCGCGCCTCCAACTATTACCCCGATTCCAAGCCTAGAGGCTCCTTCTGAACAAGGTAAGGAGCCTGTGGCCAGAAACCTACACGTTTCGATGCTGGGATGAAAAGCCATGGAAATTCCCACTGATGCAGCAGCCTCCAATGGTAAACGGATGCTCGAGTGTTGACTGAGTTCTGTCATGTAGGAGGAAGCCTCCGTGCACTCTCTGGGGGAGCCAGCGGATTGATTTCTGGTACAACGTTGGGTGGGCTGTGTCTTTAGAATTGGCACAAACCCTCCAGGGTGATCGACTTCACAACTCACCTCGTTGAAAAATGGGCTATCTCAGTGTCTTAGCCAAAATTTTTATTGTAACATGCTGTCAGATGTGTGACTCTTTCCAAGCCAGTAAGCTTTTCCTGGGACTTCTTCAATTAGCCAGCATTCAGTGCAATCTTCAGCATTGCAGATTCAGAGAAATGTGGCTCTGGAGCCTGTCACCCTTGAGAAACAGGGCTAACAGGGTTGCATTAATTCCAAATCACCCTGGTTCTATGGAGCAGTACATGAACTCCCAATGATCTATGTTTCAGGACTTCCTCAGTCATAGGTGGGCTCTGCAGCCCTAGGTTTTTAAGTGAGTGACTGCCCCGTGTTCTGGTGGCAGTTGTACCTGTGAGCGGTCTGGATAGAAAGAGTCGGAGACTTCTGTATTATTGCAACTCAGGATGTGGGTCATGAGAGGATTTCATCTCTCCTGCAGGGGAGTAAGCTGTTCGCCTCCACCCATCCCTGATAACTGAAGTGTCTTTGTCTGCAGTCCTAGACGAAGGACTGTTGTCTCTCCCATGGCCCAGAAGCTGAAGACCTTGCCTTTTGTTATGAAACGTTCATTGTTTTCATGTCTGTCCGTTTCTCTGCCCCTAACACCCAATCACCATGTATGGCCTGTACCCCCAAATGCATCGTGCTTTGCTGTTTGCTGCCCCATAGTCCTCATGAACATTCAGTAGAAATTCCCATAAATGTGCTTGCACGTGAGCACAGTTTCCATTGAGAAGCCCTCTCATTTGTCCTTTTTTTCTAAGCTTTTATGTGAAATATTTCTAAGAACTTACTACAGTTCTAAAGTGTTAGGAATTTGTTTCTTTGGTGTTTTTGTTTGTTGGTTGGTTGTTGCTTTTCTCAAGTCCATCTGCCTACAAATAAAGAAACAAGAATGTTACTTGTCATATTCTCCTGAGGTCATAATTCTCAGAGACTTTTTTCTGGTTTGTGCCATAAGTGGCTTCACATGTTTGTCTCTTCTTGGAAACACTCAGTTTGATTTCTTTTCTTTTCATTTCAGCACCAACTGAGCAAAGGCCTGGGGTGCAGGAGTGCTACCACGGAAATGGACAGAGTTATCAAGGCACATACTTCATTACTGTCACAGGAAGAACCTGCCAAGCTTGGTCATCTATGACACCACACTCGCATAGTCGGACCCCAGCATACTACCCAAATGCGTATGTCTATTTTCTTTACCATAAGTGAAGGAAGGGTCAGTGGAAATTTCTGTTAGTAGAGTCATGCTTCAAGCTGAGTGTTCAGGACTCAAGTTGTCTCAGATGAACAGTGCATAGCAAAATGTCTCAGGAACATTGTCTTTGAGCAAAGAGTCTAAGAGAAGACAAATGTTAATCTGGCTCTCCTTCCTCCTAGTTTAATGGAGCAGAAAGGTATCTGGAGGCAAGGATATCACATTAAGAAACAAGTCAAGATGACAAATGATGAAACTCTTAGAGTACCCTTCCACAACACCCACTAAGGTTCAATGCAGCCTTTTCTCCTTGGAATTCTATTAAACTAAACTCCAATTCCTGAAGTGAAGGTTCTGTTGGGGTTTTCTGTTTTGGCTTACAAGGAAAGTATATATGTATATCTATGGAGAGGCAAATCTATCTCTTTCTATATCTACGTCTATTCCAATATGTAGAAACACAGTCGGTTCTGACCACCAGTGGTCTGAAGGGATACTGGTTGTTAGAGAATAAAAATGGCAGGAAGGCAGATGAGAGTCAGCAAAGAGAGAGATCCTGTAAAGTAAAAGGGTGGATAGATGGACAGAAGCCCAGGTCTGACCAGCCCATGGCCAGGCTTTAGGCCATAAGTGACACCAAAGACATGGAAAAATGGTTTCTACATGTTGGACAACAGACAGTAGTGGACCAAAAGAATAGTGACAGGGGGAACAATGAGATCAACTCCATAGATACCTTGGCTTTCTTCCTGGAGGCCCTTCTTGCACTGAAGAGCAAGGTGATGGAGCCCAGATGGACTGTAGCCATCTTCCTGAATGCAGGAGAGAGATTGGAATTTGGGACTACTGTGGTAGCTAGGATTTTATAGGCCTGCTGAGAATGAGAATGGATTTGTGGATGAAAGGAGCTCCAGGGGCACGCATAGTAGTCTCCTCGAATCTTTGGCTAAACATGACGTTGCATGTGCCCAGAAAAAGGTTCCACAAGAAAGTAGAGAAAAGAATATATCCTGAGGAATAGCAACTGCGATTGAACAGTGAGCTCAATAAAGAGGACAGAGCCCTCATAGCATTCTGGGATACTGGAGTTCTGACCAGCTGGAGGAGAGACCTCACTGAACCTCTTGGGAATACAGTAGAGACTCCAGAAAAGTCATACTTTAGGAGTAGAATTAGTAAATTTCTAGAAAAAAAGGCAGCTCTAGACAAACCCTGGCAAAACTGAAAAGCAAGTCTCCAAGCATTAAAATCATTTCCAAGTCAATTAACTGCCTGGGAGAGGAAAACCCTCTTTAGAGGTAAACAACAAAGTCAAGTGGCTCAGCTATGTGGTGTTCACAGTGTGAGTTCTAAATTTAAAACTTGACTACACATAGAGAAGCTTTTAGTATGAACCATGACCAGGTGAAAAATCAGTCAATACAAATAGACCTAGAAATGACAGAAATGATTAGAATGGCAAAAAATTTGACATATCAATATGTCAACTGAGTTTTAGGTTTTAAGAAAACATGAATACGGAATGAAGCAGATACCATATCAAGAGACAGTAACAGTATAGAAGAGCCAAATTAAATTAAAGAACTAGTATAAGAAGGTATGTCTTAAATGAAAAAATTACTGGATGTATTCCCAATGGAGTGAGATGTTTCAGAAGTAAAAACTAACTGAAAAACAATTTTATACCACCTACAGAACCAGCTACACATACACAAATGACACACACATATACACACATACTCACACATGCACAGGCTTAGAAACATGCACGCACACACACACACACACACACACACACCTCCACAAATACTAAAAAATGAAATCCACTGATCCTCACAGACAGGCGGGAAAATATAAAAAGATTTCCTGCATGTGGGTAGGAAGTCACAGAAGGAGAGGAAGGAGAGATTGCTACAGGAACAAATACTGGAAGCAAGGATAGCTAAAAACTTTTCAAATAAGAAGAATATTAAAAACCACAGATTCAAGAAGCTGAATGAATCAGACAGGGAATTTCCAAAAAAAAAAAAAAAAAAACTGTATGATTCACTTTTGTACATCACCGTTCAACAGTCAGAAGGCAAAGATATAATAACAAGAAACATCTCATGAGAAACTGGAGGAAAAAGAGCTGTGTCTTGCTAGAAGAACAGTGATACAAATTGCTAATGCATTCTCATCAGAAACACTGGAACCCAGTTAACAGGGGATATCATTAAAATGATAAACTAGAAAAAAAAGAGATCAAATGAGAATGCTACATCCAGCAATAAAATGCCTTGAAGATCATCCATGTTGGATAAATGCATATTGTGCACTGCCCCAAATAAATAAACCAAAAACTAATAATTTGGAATCAGCAGGCTTGTGTAACAAGAGATGTTGCCCAAAGAAAATTAGCTAGAAGAAGAATAGTTCAAGAGGAGAACTTTCTGCAGCCCACGTAATGAAGAACCCAGCAAATGGCAAATGTAGATGTAAATGCAAAATATTTTCTTGATCAAATTTCTATATCTTTTTAAATGAGAGTTGACTACTTGAAGCAAAATGATAGCAATATATTTAACTTTAGCATATGTAGAGGTAAAAATTTGAACATATAGACTAAATCATGTGGGGAATAATTGGAAGTGTACCATTGTAAGTTTCTTACCTTATCCACGATGGTATGTAATATTAATGAAAGGTTGAATTTGTGGGTCCAAAGGGATATTGTAAATCCTAAAGCAATCATAAAATTTTGAATTCTGAGGGATATTATATAATAAGAATTTTCCATGTATCCAAAAGAGGGAAGCCAAGGAAGAAAAAGAAGTCTTTCAAGTACTCAAGCTCTGAGCACATCCAGTTGCTCATTGAACCAGCTTCCTGGAATGGAGGGTCTGGGCTTGAGACTAGGTCACATGTGTAGAGTCTCTAGAGAGACAGTGTTGGATCCCCATGGCCCATAATACATTTCCCGTTTTCCCAGGCAGCCACAGGTCACGAATGGGAGGATTCTGAGAGGTTGGAGCAATGTTCTTAGGAGGCATAAGGAGGAGTGAATGCTCTGAGATTTCCCCAGCCTGAGGTCCTCCATAGCTGCCCGACCTCTTCAGACCTCATAGTCTGCCCAGCTGTCTCCCTTTATGCCATGAGTGCCACTGTTCTTTCAACTCATCCCCCATTCCCTCAGTCCCGGAATTGCTGTGGCCAGCAGAGGATGGACTGAGAGCAGGAGAGGAAGTCCTGACCAGGAACCCATCCTAGAGATACTGCATCCTGCCTGAAAGCTAGGTTTCCAGGGCAGCTTTGAGAAGTCTTGCAGAAAGAAACCCACTTGACCCACCTGATACGGTATCGACAGACAGGAATACTTTTTGTGCAATGGTTTTACATGCTGAACATAGAGCCTTTTGGCTACATTTTGAGTACATTGAATGAGACTGCTGGCCTGGGAAGGATATCATGCTGGATGCCATTTTTTTCTCTGGAGAACTATGTGTTAGTTCCAACTCGCACATTACTATATGAAGTCCTACACAGAGAGATACGGAGAGCTAGACAGATAGAGATACTTTTGTATGTGCATAACCAATTCCACAATACACACGTCAAAATCCATACCAGTTATTCCAGAGAGATGGATTGGGCAGAAGGCAGAAGGAGGATATTCTGATCCCTTTTTGGCCACATGTATGTATAATCTCAGTGTTTCTAGGAAGTGTGTGCTGCATTAGATTTTTTTTCTTTAAAAAAAGTGATAATATATTAAGTATGAGAAATGTGCAGAGAGGATTAGAGATTGAGAGCCATTTGTCATTGTGGCAATTGTATGGTATCTCTTTTGGGAATATTTCAAAGGCACCAGTAATGACCTTGTTGTAGCAAAATATACAGTGTTCCTGCATATGTACCCATTTTTTGTGATGTGTATTCTTTTGGAATTTCCAGTGGCTTGATCAAGAACTACTGCCGAAATCCAGATCCTGTGGCAGCCCCTTGGTGTTATACAACAGATCCCAGTGTCAGGTGGGAGTACTGCAACCTGACACGATGCTCAGATGCAGAATGGACTGCCTTCGTCCCTCCGAATGTTATTCTGGCTCCAAGCCTAGAGGCTTTTTTTGAACAAGGTAAGAAGTTGTGCCAGACATTTACCTGCTTGGATGCTGGGATGAAAAGCCATGGATACCCCCACTGACGCACAACCCTTCAGTGCTACACTGGTTCTCGTGTGTTGGTTCTGGGTCTGCCATGTGGGAGGAAGCCTTAGCGCACTCTCTGGGGGAGCCAGAGGTGTGATTTTTGGTGCAACCTGTGCGAGCTGTGTCTTTAGGATGGGCGGAAACCATTCTGGGTGCTCGACTTCACCACTCCCCTCATTGTAAAAGGGGCTATCTCATTGTCCTAGACAAAATTCTTATTGTAATATGCTGTCAGATGTGTGTGTCTTTCCAAGCCAGTAAACTTTTCCAGGGATTTCTTCAAGTAGACAGCATTCAGTGCAATCTTCAGCATTGCAGATTCCGAGAAATGTGGCTCTAGATCCTGTTATCCTTGAGAAACCTAACTGGGTTGCATTAATTCCATATCTCCCTGGGTCTGTGGAGTAGTACATGAGCTCCCGAAGCTCTATCTCTCAGGTCTTTTTCAGTCCGAGGCAGGTTGTGCAGTTCTTAGCTTTGAAGGGAGTGATTTTTTCGTGTGCTTTTGCCTCTTTCTGATGGAACTTGTACCTGCGGGGGGTCTGGAGAAAAAGAGTAGTAGACTTTTGCTTTATTGCAATGCATTATGCTGGGCACGAGAGGATTCCCTATCTTATTGTAGGTGATAAGCTTTTGGCCTCCACTCATCCCTGAGAAGTGAAGTGTTGTTGCCTACAGTTTTAGCTGCAGGACTGTTGTCTGCCCCATCACCAGGAGTTTAATGCTTTCTTTTTTGAGCAATCATCTAGGGACACATGCAAGGTTTTTATATGTCCTTGCCTCCTCCCCAAAAAACCATTTTAATGCTTGGAGACTTGCTTTTCAGCTTTGCCAAATGCATCACCCTTTCTTCTATGCTGTTCCATGTCGTCATGAACACTCTGTAGAGATTCCTAGAAATGAGCTTCCATGTTAGTGGAGTTTCCGATGAGAAGCAATCTGATATTTCTTTTCCACTAAGTTTTACATGAAATATTTCTAAGAACTTACTACAGTTCTAGAATGGTAGGCATCTCTTACTTTCGTGTTTGTTTGTGTGTTTTCTCATGTCCATTTGCCTATTAATAAAGAATAGAGAATGGTTGTAAATCTCAGTGACTCTTTTTTGGTTTATGTCATAAATGGCTTCCTGTATTTTTCTGTTCTAGGAAATAATAAGCTTGATGTCTTCTGTTTTAATTTCAGCACTGACTGAGGAAACCCCCGGGGTACAGGACTGCTACTACCATTATGGACAGAGTTACCGAGGCACATACTCCACCACTGTCACAGGAAGAACTTGCCAAGCTTGGTCATCTATGACACCACACCAGCATAGTCGGACCCCAGAAAACTACCCAAATGCGTACGTCTTTGTTCTTTACCATAAGCGAAGGAAGGGCCAATGGAAGTTTCTGTTAGAAGAGTCATGCTTCAAGGTGACTGCTCAGGACTCAACTTGGCTCAGATGCAGAGGAACATTTCCTGTGAGCAAAAGTTCTTAGAGAAGACTTTGTTTTTTTGAGACAGAGTCTTGCTTTGTTGCCCAGGCTGGAGTGCAGTGGCATGATCTCGGCTCACTGCAAGCTCCGCCTCCCGGGTTCACACCATTCTCCTGCTTCAGCCTCTCTAGCAGCTGGGACTACAGGCACCCACCACCACACCCGGCTAATTTTTTGTATTTTTAGTAGAGACAGGGTTTCACTGTTCTAGCCAGGATGGTCTTGGTCTCCTGACCTCGTGATCCGCCTGCCTCAGCCTCCCAAAGTGCTGGGATTACAGGCGTGAGCCACCGTGCCTGGCTGAGAAGACATTTTTTAAGCTGGCTCTCCTTCCTCCTAGTTTTATGGAAGCAGAAGGATATATGGAGTTGAGAAGATCTTATTAATAAAACAGCCGGGATGACAAATGACCAAAGAGTTAGAGTATCCTTCTACAACATCGGCTGAGGGTTAATACAACCTTTTCACCTTGGAATTCTATCATTCTAAGCTCTAGTCCCTGAAGTGAATGTTGTGTTGGCCTTTTGCATCTTGGGTCACAGGGAATTGATACTTGCACATCTATGGAGAGGCAAATCTTTTTCTATCTACTTCTTTTTCAATGGGTACAAACACACTTGGTCCTGAGCACCAGTGGTCTGAAGAGATACGGTCTGCCCAGAGGAGAAGAACAAAGGCAGGAAAGCAGATGAGAGTCAGCAAAGGGGCGATGCTGAAAAGTAAAAGGGGCGGGTAGATGGACAGAAGCCATGATCTGGCCATTCTATGGCCAGTCTTTCGGCCATAAGTGACTACCAAAGACACGGCAAAACGGTTTCCACATGTTGAACAACAGATGCTAGAGGACCAAGAGTATTGCAAGAGGGAGAAAATGAGATCAACCCATCAATGCCTTGGCTTTCTTCAAGGAGACCCTTCCTGCACTGAAGAGCAAGGAGATGGAGCCCAAGCTGACTGTAGCCATGTTGCTGAACAGAGGAGAGTGATTGGACTTTGGGATTACTCAGGTAGTTAGGATTTTCTAGCCATGCTAAGAGTAAGAATGGACTTGTGGAGGATAGGAGCTCCAGGCATAGAAGTCTCCTCAAGTGTTAGTCTAAACATAAAGCAGCACTTGCATAGAAGATTTTCCACAAGAAAATATGGCAAAAAAACACCATATATTGAGGAACAACAACTACAAGGGAACAGTGAGCTTAATAAAGGTGACAGAGCTCACATAGTGCTCTGGAATATTGGAGTTTTGACCAGCTAGAGAGAAGAGACCTCATTGAAAATCTTGGGCATTCAGTAGAGACCTCAGAAAAGTCAGACTTTATGAGTAGACTTTGTATATTCCTAGAATAAAGGCAGCTCCAGAAAAAACCTAGCAAAGCTGAAAAGCAAATCTCCAAGCATTAAAATGGTGTCCTAGTCAATTAACTGCCTTCTAGAAGAAAACTCAACACTCTTTACAGGTGAACAACAAAGTTAAGTTGCTGAGCTATGCAATATCCACAGTGTGAGTCCTAAATTTATAACTTTACTACACATAAAAAAGCATTTAGTGTGAACCATAACCAGGAAAATAATCAGTCAATAAAAATAGAACCAGGAATGATAGAAATGATTTAAATGGCATGAGAATTTGACATATTAGTATCATAACTGCATTGCTGGATTTAAGAAAACATAAACATGGAACGTAACAGATATCATATCAAGGGAAAGTAAAAGGATAAAAGAGTCAAATCAAATTAAAGGACTATTAAAAGGTATATCTTAAATGAAAAATTCACTGGATGGTCTCCCAATCAGGTTAGTTGTTTCCAGGGAAAAAATTAACTGAAAAATAATTCAATAGAATCTACAGAAATAGCTGCACATATATACACACAATGGCACACGTGCACACACCCACACCCACACAGGTGTGAATCCTAGAGCCACACGAGCATTGAAACATAGAGAAGTAAAAATTGTTCATTGAGGAATATGTAGCAATGCTCAATGTGTTTTACCCTAATAAGAGCTTTTGTGATGTATGATTGAAAAACTGACACAACTGAAGAGAGAAATAGATAAGCCCACACTCTGAGTTAGAGATTTCCTTGATTCTCTCACTATGGTTATAAATCTTTCCCAAACACAACAGGCTAGAACAAATATGCAGAAAATTAGACATAGTATCTTTGTTCTCAATAAAAACGTCGACCTATTTAACATTATACCGAACTACCGAGTACACATTAAAGTGTGCATGGAGCATTCACTGAGGTGTACTCTACACATGACCTTCCAGCAAGTCTCCATAGATTTAAAAGAATTAAAGTCATACAGAGTGTGTCACTTTATTCTCCCAGAATAAAGTGAGATATGAATAATGAGAAGTTTGCCAGCTTCTCAAATATTTGGGAGTCATACGGTGCATTTCAAAATACTCTTTGGGACAAAGAAAACATCACTAAGGAATTTAGAAAAGTTTTGAACTGAGTAAGAATATAACACAATTTATCCAAACTTAGGAGATGCAGTGAATGTCTTTAGGCTTTTACATAATTTTAGATGCTCTTAGGGAAAAACAGAAGCATGTAATAATCAAGATTTCAAACTGCAATTCTCAAAGTGTAGTCTAGAGAAACCTGAGGACCTTTGAGTACCTTCAGAGACAGTCCATGAGGTTAAAGGACTTTGCTACGTGAAAAGTAAGATGCTATTGGCCCTTTTTACTTTCATTTTCCAACAAGAGAAGAGGGGAGTTTTCCAGCAGTTACATAATATGTAATGGCATCATGTCTCTGATGGCTAAGAAAATGGGCAATTGTTGACTTTGTGTGTTAAAAAAATTCTCAGTGTTGGTTTCTTATACTATAAATATTCATCTTGTGTTTTGAAAAAGAAAAGCTCTTTGGAATCCCCTATGAACAAAGACTTTGACAGTTGTTGATCTAAGACCACAGCTTAAATATCTACACAAGAAAAAAAAAAAAAGCAAATAAGAGCCAAGGAAAGCAGATGGAAGGAAGTAGTCCAAACCAGTGACATTCAGTGAACAAGAAAAGAGACCAACAAGGGAGTAAACTCTTGAAACAGAAAGTTGATTCTTTGAAAAGATCCATATGATTGAACACAGTCTGGCTAAACAAATGACAGACCAATGAGGGTGCACAACCATCACCATCTGGAGTAACAGAGGAGAGGTGCCATTACTATAGCATCTTCCAGTTCTGAAAGCTGAAAAGAAGATTTTGAGAACAATTGTATGTGAATAAATTCAGGAATGTTAATCATGTGGGCCAATTCCTGAGGAAGACAACAAATCAGCAAACCAGATGCTGAATAGTTAGTGTAGTCCTGTAGAGAGACATACAGAGAGGCTGACAGAGAAATATTTGTATGTGCATAAAACAATCTACAAGACACACTTCAAAATCAATCTCAGTTAATCTGGAGGAACATATTTCACAGAAGGTGGAAGGAGGGTATTCTGATCCTCTTGTACATTGTACAACATTGTACAATGTACAGAGTATAATTGTACAAGTACAATTGAAGTTGTACAAGTACAAGTGCAACTTGCACAATGTACAGAGTAAACATTGATGTTTACTCTCAATTTTCTTATGGAGCACAGATGACTTTGGATGTGTTACAATATGAATGATAATTTGTCTTTGAGATGTTCGCAGTTGTTTAGAAGTTGAGGACCATTTGTGCATATTATGGGACCTTTAGTGAAAATATTTCAAAGTCTCTTTTTACACTTTGTTACAGCAAAATGTAGAGGGCGCTAAGTGCCCTTGAATCTTCTCCCATCTCTGGTGACCTGTGTTGTTTTGAAATTTGCAGTGGCCTGACCAGGAACTACTGCAGGAATCCAGATGCTGAGATTCGCCCTTGGTGTTACACCATGGATCCCAGTGTCAGGTGGGAGTACTGCAACCTGACACAATGCCTGGTGACAGAATCAAGTGTCCTTGCAACTCTCACGGTGGTCCCAGATCCAAGCACAGAGGCTTCTTCTGAAGAAGGTAGGAAGTCTATGGCCAGACAACCACACCCTAGGACGTTGGGATGAAAAGAGTTGCAAAATCTTAGTGATATAGAAGCCTTCCATGCTCACACAATTCCAAGTAGAATGTGGACTCAGGGTCAGCCACTGGGAAGGAACACTCAGCGCCTTCTCTGGGAGAACCAGAGCTGTGATGTTTGGTACCCTGTGAAAGGGTGGTATCTATAGGAAGGGTGCAGACCCTCTAGGGCACTGGACTTACCACTCCCCTGGTTATTCAAAGGATCATTTTAGTGTCTTAGCCAGAAGAATATTCTAACATTTTGCCAAATTTGTGAAGATTTACCAAGCTCATGATAAGCCTTTCATGGTATTTCTTCAAGTAGTCAGTGTTCATTGCATCTTTGGCTTTGCGGTTTCGGAGGAATGCGGTTTTTGAGTCTGTCATCCTTGAGAAACCTAATATGACTTTTCTTAGTTCCATATACTTCTGGGTCCAGGTAGCAGTACATAGCCAACAAATGCTCCATCGTTCTGGCCTATCTCCATCTTAAGCCAGTCCTGCACAACTAGGCTTTGATGGGAGGGATCTCTCAGTGTTCTTGCCCCTCCTTCTCATGGAACATATATCTGTGTTGGTCTCTGAGAAGAAGAGTAGTGGATATCTACTTTGTTGCAATGCAGAATCCTGGGCCAAAGATACCAGCCATCCCTCCAAGGGAATAAAATTTTGGCCAGTAGCCCTCTCTGAGAGACAATTTGTCTTTGCCTACGAGTCCTAGATGCAGGACCGCTTCCTGCCCCATCTTCAAGAAGCTGAAGGCTTTGGCTTTGGAGGATCAGCAGTCTAGGGAAATGTGTGACGGTTTCATGTCTGTCCCCACTGACAGTCAATCACCACCTACAACCTGCACAGCCTGATGCATAGCAGTCTAGTTTCCTGCCTTATTCTCAGGAACACCCAGAAGATGTCTATATTAAAGAGCATGCACATGAGTGCAATTTTGACTGATAGGCACTCTGATCTTTCCTTTGGTGCCTGTGTTTTAAAGGAAATCTTTCTAAGAACTCGTTAAAGTTCTAGAATGCTATGAATCTTTGGGTTTTATTATTGGTATGTCCATCTGCCTGCTAGTACAGAACAGAGCATGGTAGTCTTTCTCAGAGACAATGATCCTGTTTCAGTCACAGATTTCTTCTGATGCTTCTGTGTTCTAGAAATTACTCAGCTTGATTTCTCCTCTTTGAATTTCAGCACCAACGGAGCAAAGCCCCGGGGTCCAGGATTGCTACCATGGTGATGGACAGAGTTATCGAGGCTCATTCTCTACCACTGTCACAGGAAGGACATGTCAGTCTTGGTCCTCTATGACACCACACTGGCATCAGAGGACAACAGAATATTATCCAAATGGGTACAACCTTGAGTTTTCTTCAAAGACAGACAGCAGCCCCCTTACATTTCTCTTGGAAGGGCCATGCTTCCAACTAACTTCTTATGACAAATTTATCTCAGATCTGGAATGTTGGGTAGAATGTCTCAGGCTTCTTTCTTCAGGCACAGTGTCTGAAAGGAGAGAAATGTCAGGCCAGCTCTCTTTTCTCATAGTTGACAGAAGCAGGAGGATATTTGAAGGTGGTGAGTTCTCATGAATAGAAAGCTCAGGACACATGGCCACGTGCTTAGAAATAGCACCATTCCACAATGCCCACTAAAGACCAATGCAATAGTTCAACCAGGGATTTCTGTCATTCTAATCTCCAAGTCCTGAAGTGAAGGTTGTATTAGCCATGTTCATCTTGGGCAACAAATAAAGGATATCTATGTTGACATCCAGATCTTCCAATCACTTTCTCCTCTAACCTGTACCTGGGTTCTGAGAACAAGGTATCTGAAGAGCTATGTGTTGCCAGCACATGAGGGGCAAAAGTAGGAAGGCAGCTGAGAGTCAGGAAGTATAAAGATTCTGAAGAGTTACACATGCAGGAAGATGGACAGAAACCCAGTTCAGACCACGTCAGCGTTTCTGCCATGAAGGACTATCAAATACATAGGAAAAGTGTTTTCATAGGTTGGACAACAGACATGACAGGCCTGAGAAAATTCAGAAAGGGAATCAAAGGAGATCAACCTTATCATGTCCCTGGCATCCTTCCTTGAGACCCTTGAAGGGCAAGCAGATGGAGCCCAGCTGACCACAGCAGTCTTGCTTAACTGAGGAGAGAGACTGGAGTTTGTGATGCCTCAGGCATCTGACGTATTCTAGGCTGGCTAAGAATGAGAGGGGATTTGTGGAGGAAAGGAGCTCCAAGAATACACACCGAAGTCTTCTCAAGGCTTTGGCTAAATACAAAGCTGCGTATGCACAAGGAGAGTTTTCACAAAGAAAGAACAATAAAGAAAAGCTACTGGGGAAAGAACAACTGCAAGGGAACAGTGAGCTCAATGGAGATGCTAGAGCTCACATAGCACTGGGGGATATTTGAGTTCTGACCACTCAGAGGAGAGACACCTCACTGAACATCTTGGGCATTCAGTAGAGGTCAAAGAAAGCCATAATTTGGGAGTAGGATCTTCGGATTCCTAGAAATAAGGTGACTCCAGAAACACTCCAGCAACCCTTCTTCCAAGCCAGTCTAAAAGGATCCAAATGATTTCCAAGTAAATTAACTGCCTTCCAGAAAAAAGTAAACTCAACCCTCCTTAGAGGTAAGGAACGAATACAAGTTTCTCAGTTATATGACATCCCCAGAGTGCAACTTGCATTTAAAAATTTACTAGACACAAAAGAAGTTTTCACTGTGATCCATAACTGGGAGAAAAATCACTCAACACAAATAGGCCCAGAAATAATAGAAATTATGGCATTGGCAAGAACATTTAAAATGCACCTCTGAGAACTGTGTTTCAGGAAAATGTCAGCAAAAGCTGACCATGAGAGAAATGAATGCATAATATCAGAAAAGAAAAGAATTGAAGAGCCAAATGGAAATTTAAAAACTGAGAAAAGTTATATCTGTAATGAGGAATTCACTGGATGGCCTTATAACCAGTTTAGATATTATGGTAGGAAAAGGTGAACGAGAAAATGATTCAATTAAAGCTAGACAAACCACAAGACAGACAGACAGACACAAATACACATACACACAATGACTGAACCAATTAATCAACAGAGCCTCAAGGACATCTAGGAAAACATCCACACATTTAATATATGTGTTAGGCAAGTCACAGAAAGAGAGGAAAAAGATAATGTGACAGAAGTTATACTTGAAGCCATGACGGCTGACAAATTTCCAAACATACAGAAAATGAGAAATTCATAGTCATGAAGCTCAATGACTCAGGTATAGATTTTTAAAGAGCAAAACTCTGATTTACTGGGGTACATCATAGTTAAATTGTCTGATTTCAAAGCTAAGAAGAAAAAAAGGGGGTTCCTATGAACAAACATTTTGACAGTTGATCTAAGACCACAGCTTAAATATCTAGGCAAGGAAAAGCAAATAAGACACAAGGAAAGGGGATGGATGGAAATAGTCCAAACCAATGACATTCAGTGAACAAGAAAATAGACCAACAAAGGAGTAAATCCATGAAACAGAAAGTTGGTTCTTTGAAAAGATTCATGTGATTGACCACAGTCTGGCTGAACAGATGACAGACCAAGGAGGGAGTACAACCATCACCATTTGAAGTAACAGGGGAGAGGAGCCATTGCTATACCATACTCCAGGTCTGAAAGCTGACAAGAAGATATCAAGAAAAACTGTATGTGAATAAATTCATGAATGTAGATCATGTGGATCAATTCCTTAGGTAAACAACAAATCAGCAAACCAGATACTGAATAGATTGGGTACTCCTATAGAAAGACATACAGATAGCCAGACAGAGAAACATTTGTACGTGCATAAAACAATCTACAAGACTCACTTCAAAATCTCTCAGTTAATCCAAAGTAACATATTTGGCAGAAGGTGGAAGGAGGGTATTCTGATCCTTTCTTGTACACATTGATGTTTTCTCTCGGTTTTCTTATGGAGTATAGACGAGTTTGGATGTGTTACAATAAGAATGATAATCTGTCTTTGAAATGTTCACAGTTGTTTAGAAGTTGAGGACGATTTGTGATTGTTACAGGACCTTTAGTGAGAATATTTCAAAGTCACTTTTTACCACTTTGTTACAACAAAATGTAGAGGATGTCTGGTGCCCTTGTATCTTCTCCCATCTCTGGTGAACTGTATTGTTTTGTAATTTGCAGTGGCCTGACCAGGAACTACTGCAGGAATCCAGATGCTGAGATTAGTCCTTGGTGTTATACCATGGATCCCAATGTCAGATGGGAGTACTGCAACCTGACACAATGTCCAGTGACAGAATCAAGTGTCCTTGCGACGTCCACGGCTGTTTCTGAACAAGGTAAGAAGTCTCTGGCCAGACAACCACACCCTTGGACGTTGGGATAAAAAGAGTTGCAAAATCTTAGTGATACAGAAGCCTTCCATGCTGCACGGGAATCTGAATGTGGACTCAGGGTCAGCCAATGGGAAGGAAGCCTCAGCGCCTTCTCTGGGGGAACCAGGGCTGAGATTTTTGGCACCCCGTGACAGGGTGGTGTCTTTAGGAAGCGTGCAGACCTTCTAGGGCACTGGATTTACCACTCCCCTGGTTATTCAATAGATTATTTCAGTGTCCTAGTGAAAATGGATATTCTAACATCCTGCCAAATTTGTGATGATTTACCAAGCTCATCATGAGCCTTTCCTGGTATTTCTTCAAGTAGACAGTACTCATTGCAAACTTCAGCTTTACAGTTTCAGAGGAATGTGGTTTTTGAGTCTGTCATCCTTGAGAAACCTGATATGACTTTACTTAGTTCCATATCCTCCTGGGTCTAGGTAACAGTACATAGCCAGCAAATGCTCTATCTCCCTGTCTACCTTAATCTTAGGCAGGTGCTGCACACCTAGGCTTTGATGGAAGGGATTTCTTAGTGTTCTTGCCCCTCCTTCTCATGGAACACGTATCTGTGTTGCTGTTTGTGAAGAAGAGTAGTGGATGTCTACTTTGTTGCAATGCAGGATCCTGGGCCCAAGATTTCCCGCCGTCCCTCCAAGGGAATAAAATTTTGGCCAGTACCCCTCTCTGAGAGACAATGTGTCTTTGCCTGGAAGTCCTAGATGGAGGACCACTTCCTGCCCCATCTTCCAGAAACTTAAGGCTTTGGCTTTGGAGGATCAGTGCTCTGGAGAAATGTGTGACGGTTTCATGTCTGCCCCCACTGACAACCACCACCTACAGCCTGCACCGCCTGATGCATGGCACTCTGGTCTCCTGCCTTGTTCTCAGGAACACCCAAAAGAGATCTTTGCCAAAGAACAGGCACATGAGTGCAATTTTGACTGATAGGCACTCTGATCTGTCCTTTGGTGCCCAGGTTTTAAAGAAAATCTTTCTAAAAACTCATTGAAGTTCCAGAATGCTATGAATCTTTGAGCTTTGTTATTGGCATGTCCATCTGCCTACTAATGTAGAACAGAGCATGGTCGTCATTTTCAGAGATGATGTCCTGTTTCTATCATGGATTTTTTTTCTCATGCTTCTGTGTTCTGGAAATTACTCAGTTTGTTTTCTCCTCTTTGAATTTCAGCACCAACGGAGCAAAGCCCCACAGTCCAGGACTGCTACCATGGTGATGGACAGAGTTATCGAGGCTCATTCTCCACCACTGTTACAGGAAGGACATGTCAGTCTTGGTCCTCTATGACACCACACTGGCATCAGAGAACCACAGAATACTACCCAAATGGGTATGTCTTTGAGTTTTCTCCCAAGAGAAACAGCCACCCACTTAAATTTCTCCTGGAAGAGCCATGCTTCCAGCTAACTTCTTATGACCCAATTTCTCTCAGACCCAGAATGTTGGACAGAATGTCTCAGGCTTCTTGCTTTGGGCACAGGGTCTGAGAGGAGAGAAATGTCAGGCCAGCTCTCTTTTCTCATAGTTGATAGAAGTAGGAGGATACTTGGAGGTGGTGAGGTCTCATGAATAGAAAGCTCAGAAGAACATATGACCATGTGCTTAGAAATAGCACCATTCCACAATGCCCACTAAAGACCAGTGAAATAGTTCAACCAGGGAATTCTGTCATTCTAATCTCCAAGCCCTGGAGTGAAGGTTGTGTTTGCCATGTTTGTCTTGGGTAACAAGTGAAGGATATCTATATTGACTTCGAGATCTTCCGATCACTTTCTCCTCTAACCTGTATAAACACATTGGGTTCTGAGAACAAGGTGTCTGAAAAGCTATGTGTTGCCAGCCCATGAGGGGCAAAAGGAGGAAGGCAGCTGAGAGTCAGGAAGTATAGAGATGCTGAAGAGTTACACATTCAGGAAGATGGACAGAAACCCATGTCTGGCTATGCCAGCCTTTCTGCCATGAAGGACTATCAAATACATGAGAAAACAGTTTTCACAGGTTGGACAACAGATATGGTAGGCTTGAGAGAACTGAGAAAGGGAATCAAAGGAGATCAACTTCATCATTAACCTGTCTTCCTTCCTGGACACAGTGTTGGATTGAAGGACAAGCAGATGGAGCCCAGCTGACCACAGCAGTCTTGCTTAACTGAGGAGAGAGACTGGAGTCTGCGATGCCTCAGGCAGCTGATGTGTTCTAGGCTGGCTAAGAATGAGAAGGGATTTGTGGAAGAAAGGAGCTCCAGGAATACACACAGAAGTCTCCTCAAGGCTTTGGCTAAATACAAAGCTGCGTATGCACAGGGAGAGTTTTCATAAAGAAAGAACAACAAAGAAAAGCTACTTGGGAAAGAACAACTGCAGGGGAACAGTAAGCTCAATGGAGATGCCAGAGCTCACATAGCACTGGGGGATATTTGAATTCTGACCACTCAGAGGAGAAACACCTCACTACATTTTGGGCATTCAGTAGAGACCAAAGAAAGCTGTATTTTGGGATTGGGATCATCTTATTCCTAGAATCAAGGTGACTCCAGAAAAACTCCAACAACCCTTCTTCCAAGCCAGTCTAAAAGGATCCAAATGATCTCCAAGTAAATTAACTGCATTCCACAAGAAAAAAAAAACTCAACCCCCCTTAGAGGCAAGGGACAAATACAAGTTGCTCAGTTATATGGCATTCCTATTGCGTTACTTCTATTTAAAAATTTAATAGAGACACAAGAAGCTTTCACTGTGATACATAACTGGGAGAAAAAATCACTCAACACAAACAGGCCCAGAAATTATAGAATTGATGACATTGGTGAGAACATTTAAAATGCACCTCTGAGAACTGTGTTTCAGGAAAATGTCAGCAAAAGCTGACCATGAGAGAAACAAAAGCAGAATAGCAAGAGAAAAGAAAAGAACCGGAGAGCCAAATGAAAATTAAAGAACTGAGAAAAGGTACATCTCTAATGAAGAACTCACTGGATGGCCTTATCATCACTTTAGACATTACGGTAGGAAAGGTGACCTAGAAAATAATTCAATAGGAGCTACACAAATCACAGGACAGACAGACAGACCAACAGACAGAAACACACACACACACACACACACACACACACACACACACACACACACACAAAGACTGAACCTATTAATCAACAGAGCCTCAAGGGCATCTAGGAAAAATCCACACATTTAATATATGTGTTAGGCAAGTCACAGAAGGAGAAGAAAAAGATATCATGACAGACATTATACTTGAAGCGATGATGGCTCGCAACACGCCAAATATACAGAAAACAAGAAACTCATAGTCAAGAAGCTAAATGACTCAGGTATAGAATTTTAAAGAGCAAAACTCTATGATTTACTGGGATATATCATAGTTAAGTTGCCTCAATTCAAAGCTAAAAAGAAAAAAAGGGGGTTCCTATGAACAACAGCTTTGACAGCTGTTGATCTAAGACCACAGCTTAAATATCTAGGCAAGGAAAAGCAAATAAGGCACAAGGAAAGAGGATGGAAGGAAATAGTCCAAACCAATGACATTCAGTGGAAAAGAAAATAGACCAACAAAGGAGTAAATCCATGAAACAGAAAGTTAGGTTCTTTGAAAAGTCTATATGATTGGCCAAAGTCTGGCTAAACAGATGACAGACCAAGGAGGGAGCATATCCATCACCATCATGAGTAACAGGAGAGAGATGCCATTGCTATAGCATCCTCCAGGTGTGAAAGCTGAGAAGTAGATATTGAGATCAACTGTATGTAAATAAATTCATGAATGTAGATCATGTGGATGGATTGCTTAGGTAAATAACAAATCAGCAAATCAAACACTGAATAGATCATGCAGTTTTATAGAGACTTACAGACAGCCTGACAGATAAACATTTGTATGTACGTGAAACAATCTCCAAGACACACTTCAAAATCCCTCTCGGTTAATCCAAAGGAATGTATTTGGCAGAAGGTAGAAGGAGGGTATTCTGATCCTTTCTGGTACACATTGATGTTTTCTCTCAGTTTTCTTATAAAGCATAGATTACTTTGAATGTGTTACAATAAGAATCATAAGCTGTCTTTGAAATGTTGACAGTTGTTTAGAAGTTGAGGACCATTTGTGAGTGTTATGGGACTTTAGTGAGAATATTTCAAATTTGCTTGTTTACACTTTGTTACAAGAAAACATAGAGGGTGCCAGGTGGTGCTGTATCTTCTCCAATCTCTGGTGACCTGTATTGTTTTGGAATTTGCAGTGGCCTGACCAGGAACTACTGCAGGAATCCAGATGCTGAGATTCGCCCTTGGTGTTATACCATGGATCCCAGTGTCAGATGGGAGTACTGCAACCTGACGCAATGTCCAGTGATGGAATCAACTCTCCTCACAACTCCCACGGTGGTCCCAGTTCCAAGCACAGAGCTTCCTTCTGAAGAAGGTAAGAAGCCTGCAGTCAGACAACCATACCCTCGGACATTGGGATAAAAAGATTTGCAAAATCTTTGTGATGCAGAAAACTTCCATGCTGCACAGGAAGTCGAAGGTGAAGTCATGGACAGCCAATGGGAAGGAAGCTTCAGTGCCTTCTCTGGGGGGACCAGAGCTGGGATGTTGAGTGCCTTGTGAGGGATGGTGTCTTTAAAAGGGGCACAGACCCTCTAGGACACTGGATTTATCACTTCCCTGTTATCAAACGAATCATATTAGTGTCCTAGCCAAGATGGATATTCTAACATCCTGCCAAACTTGTGAAGATATACCAAGCTCCTAAGCCTGTCCAGCCCTTTCTTCAAGTAGGCAGTGTTTATTGCAGTCTTCAGCTTTACCATTTTGAAGGAATGCCATTTTTGAGGCTGTTGTTCTTGAGAAACCTAACATGTCTTCATTAGATCCGTATTGTCCTGAGACTTTGAAGCAGTACATAGCCACCAAATTGTTTATCTCCCCAGCCTACCTTCATCTTGGGCATGCCTTCCACACCTAGGATTTGAGGGAAGGGATTTCTCAGTGTTCTCATCCCTGCTTCTCATGGAACATTTATCTCCGTTGTTTTTTGAGAAGAAGAGTAGTGGATGTCAGCTTTCTTGTAATGAGGGATCCTGGGCCCAAGATTCCCTGTCTCCCCTCCTAGGCTATAAAATTTTGGCCTGTACTCCTTCTCCCTGAGAGGCAATGTGTCTTTACCTACAAGTCCTAGATGCAAGATCCTTTTCTGCCCCACACCCCAGAATCTGAAGGCTTTTGCTTTGGAGGAGCAGTGGTCTAGTGTGCAAGGGTTTCATGTATACCCCCCACTAACAGCCAATCACCACCTATAGCCTGAACAGCTTGATGCATGGCACCCTGGTCTCCTGCCTTGTTCTCATGAACACCCAGAAGAGGTGTAAGCAAAAGACCATTCACATGAGTGTAATTTTGAAGTATAGGCACTCTGATCTGTTTTTTGTTTGTTTCTTTGTTTGTTTGTTTTCCAGGGTTGAATTAAAATATTTATGACTACTTATTAAATTTCTAGAATCCTATAAGTCTATTTGTATTTTTATTCTACATTTCAATTTGCATGCTAATATAGAAGAGTGTAAATTGTTAATCCTCAGATTATTCCACTTTGTGTGTCATAATTTTTTTCACATTTCCCTTTTCTAGGCAATACTGAGCTTGATTTTCTCTTTTAATTTCAGCACCAACTGAAAACAGCACTGGGGTCCAGGACTGCTACCGAGGTGATGGACAGAGTTATCGAGGCACACTCTCCACCACTATCACAGGAAGAACATGTCAGTCTTGGTCGTCTATGACACCACATTGGCATCGGAGGATCCCATTATACTATCCAAATGCGTATGTCTATCATGTTAGCCATAAAAGGAACAATAGTCAACTAAAATTTCTCTTAGCTGGCCCATGCTACAAGCTCACTTCCTAGGTCCAAATTTCTCATAGACTCAGAGTTTGTAGCAAAATGTCTCAGGAAACTTACTTTTGAGCAAAAGGTCTGAATGAAGAGAAGTTTTAGGATTGCTATCTTTCATAACAATTTGATGGAAGCAGCAGGATATATGGAGGTGGTGAAGTCTCATTAATGTAAAGCTAAGGAGATCAAATGACCAAATGCTGAGACAAAGTATCATTCCACAATGCCCACTAAAGGTCCATGCAGTCTTTCAACCATGCAATTCTATCATTCTATCCTCCATTCCCTGAAGTGAAATTTGTGTTTGCCATTTTTGACACGAATCAGAAGTAACAAATTCAGGCTGGGTGCAGTGGCTCAGGCCTGTGATCCCAACACTTTGGGAGGACAAGACGGGCAGATCACCAGAGGTCAGGAGTTCAAGACCAGCCTGGCTAACATGGCAAAACCCCATCTCTACGAAAAATTAAAAAATTAGCCGGTCATGGTGGTGGGTACCTGTAATTCCAACTACTTGGGAGGCTGAGGCAGGAGAAACACTTGAGCCTGGGATTCAGAGTTTGCTGTGAGCCGAGAACATGCCACTGCACTCCAGCCTGGGTGACAGAGCAAGACTCAATCTCAAAAAAAAAAAAAAAGAAGAAGAAGAAGAAAAGAAGAAGAGGAAGAAGAAGAAGAGGAAGAAGAAGAAGAAGAAGAAGAGGAAGAGGAAGAGGAGGAGGAGGAGGAGGAGGAAGAAGAAGAAGAAGAAGAAGAAGAAGAAGAAGAAGAAGAAGAAGAAGAAGAAGAAGAAGAAGAAGAAAATAGAAATGAGTGCATATATTTATATATGAGTACTAGCCTGTATGAACACACTGGGTTCTAAGCACCAGTTTTCTGAAGGGATATGGGTTGTCAGGCAGAGTAAAAGCAGGAATGCAGATGAGAGTCAGGAAGTAAACAGATGTGGTGATTAAAATGGGCAGGTACATGGACAAAAAAATGCATGTCTGACAAAAACTGGCCTCTTGCCATAAGTGAGTATGAATAATATGGAAAAACTGTTTGCACATGTTGAACAGCAGACAGTACAACCTGAGATAGTTTAGAAAGGGAAACAAATAAGATCAACCCCATAATTACCCTTCCTAGACTTAAGGGCAAAGAGTTTTAACCAAAGCATTCCACAGCAGTCTTGCTAAACTGGGGAGAGAGACTGGAGTTTTGTTTACTAATAAAACCGAGATTTTCTAGGTTAGGTAATAATGAGAAAGTATTTGTGGAGAAAAGGAGCTCCAGGAATACACACAGAAGTCTCTTCAAGTCTCTGGCTGAACAGAAAGCTGTGTATGCACAGAAAGAGTTTCCAGAGAGAAAGGAGAACAAAGAACAGCTACTGGGGAAAGAACAACTGCTGGGGAACAGTGAGCTCAATGAAGATGCCAGAGCTCACATAGCACTGGGAGGTATTTGAGCTCTGACCAGCCTGAGGAGAGACACTTCATTGAACATCTTGGGCATTCAGCAAAGACCCCAAAAAACCATACTTCAGGAGTAGAATTAATGCATTCCTAGAATAAAGTCTACTCCAGAAACACCCTAGAAAAGCTTAGAAACCAAGTCTAAAAAGATCCAAATGATCTCCAAGTAAATTAATTGCCTGTCAGAAGAAAACAACCTCTTCAGAGGTAAACAACAAAATTAAATTGCTCAATTATATAGTATGCACAATGTGTGGCATACATTTAAAAATTTGCTAAACATACAAAAAGCATTTAGTGTGACCCATAACCAGGAGAAAAATCAGTCAATACAAATAGACCCAAAAATGATAAAAATAACAGAATTGGCAAGGAGATTTAAAATGTATGTATCATAATTGTGTTCAAGGATTTAAAGAAAGCGTGGACAAGAAATAAATAAATGGATAATATCAACAGAAAGAAAAATTGTAAAAGGACCAAATGGAGAGTCAAGAACTGAAAAAAAAGACATCTCTTTAATGAGAAAATCACTACATGGCCTTATAATCATATTAGATAGTACAGATGATAAAGCTAACTAGAAAATATTAGGGTGGTGCAAACCATAGCACGCTTATACAAAGCCTGAGAAGATAAACAGAGCCTCAAGGACATCTATGAAAATATCAAAATATTTAATATTTGTTTAAAGCAAGTCACAGAGGAAGGGAAAGAGATATTGGAACAGAAAAAATACTTGAAGCAGTGATGGCTGATGACTTTCTAAATATGGAAAAAATGATAAACTCACATAGTCAAGAAGCTCAATGGATCAGATATAGGATTTTAAAAAGTAAAGCTGTATGATTTATTTGGACACATCATAATTAAATTGTCCATAATCAAAGATAGAAAGTAAAATCTTATTTGAAGCCCAAGGGAAAAAACATACCTTTACATAGAGTAACAGTGACACAAATGACTGATGCCTTCTCATCAGAAACAACACAAATCAGAAACAATAGAATAACACCTTTAGAGTGGTAAGAAGAAAAAAAGATCAAATCAGAAACAACAAAATAACACGTTTAGAGTGGTAAGGAGGAAAACAAGATCAAATCAGAAACAATGGAATAACACCTTTAGAGTGTAAGAAAGAAAAAAAGATCAAATCAGGAACAACAGAATAACGCCTTCAGAGTGGTAAGAAGGAAAACAAGATAAAATCAGAAACAATGAAATAACACCTTTAGAGTAGTAAGAAGAAGAAAAGATCAGGTCAGAAAAAATGGAATAATATGCTAAGAAGAAAAAAAAAGATCAAGTCAGAAACAATGGAATAACACCTTTAGAGTGAAAAGAAGGAAAAAAACCCAGCAAGCTTAAACGCTATGCACAGCAAACAATTCCACTGAAAATGAATGTTACGTAAGTACATATTCTGTCCTCCTAAAAACAAAGAACAAATAAAAGAATGTTTCATCAGCAGGATTATGTAATAAAAGATGTGAAAGAATGCTATGTAAGTAGAAGAAAAATAATACCATATGGGAATTGGCATCAAAACCACAAAATACTATCAAAACAAAAAAACTTTATTGATAAATTTAACACAATATGCAAAAGAACTATACCATGTATACTACATAACATTGGTGAGAAGAAAATTAGAAGATCTAAATAAAGACACATCATGCTTATAGATTAAAAAATCCAATGTCACTTTTCACAAAACTGATCTTTAGTTTCAACCCACACCCAAGCAGAATTCCTGCAGTCTTTTCTTGAAAACCTAACAGAATGTATATGCTAGAATCACCAAGACAATCTTTAAAAAGAATAAAAAACTTGGAATAAAATCACAAGTTTGTGGGATAGATGCATATGGTAATATGGAAATTCTCATAAAGACACAGTAATCAAGACATGTGGTATTGGCTGGGACGCTTGGCTGTAATCCTAACACTTTGGGAGGCCAAGATGAGAGGATTGCCTGAGATGAGGAGTTGCAGACAAGCCTGGGCAACATAGCAAGACCCTCATCTCTACAAATATTTAAAAAAATTAGCCAGGTTTGGTGCCATGTGCCTGTAGTCCCAGCTATTCAGGAAGCTGAGGTGGGAGGATCACTGGAGCCCATGAGGTGGAGGCTGAAATGAGCCATGATTGTGCTACTGAACTTTAGCCTGGGAGACAGATTAAAACCTTCCCTCTCTCTCTCAAACAAACAAACAAAAAATACATAGTATTGGGCAAAACATATGCAAACAAAAACAGAAAAGGGTCAGCATAAATTTACATATATGGTCAATTTATTTTCAATACAGGTAGCAAAGCAATTTAATGAGGAAATTTTTTTCCAAAATTGGTCTGAAACAACTGGATAGCCATAGAAAAAAACTATAACAAATGTGACGCTTGAATCCTACTGTATGACTCAAATTAAATTAATTTGAGATAGCTCTTAGACCTCAATGTAACAGCTAATTCTGAGGCTGAAATATAAGACTGCTATGAAAAAGTATAGTATCTTATAACCTTGGAGAAGGAAAAATTTTTTGAGGGAAGAACCAGAAAACACTAACTGTAAAAGAAAACAAATGATAATGTGGACATTCATTGAATAAAAACTTATGCTCACCAAATATGACTGTTAAGAAAATAAATAAGTAAGTAACACACTGGAAGAAAAACACTCTCATCCATATATCTGACAAATGGCCTGTATCCAGAGTATAGAAACATTTCTCCCACTCACTAATCAGAGGACAAACAACCTAATCAAAATGGGCAACAGGCTTGAATAGTCATTTCTTAGGAGAAGATGCACACAGAGCCAACAATCACCTGAAAAAGTGCACAACATCTTAGCCATCAAAAATCAAGAGTTATAACCCTCATAAGATGACACTGAACATCCAGTGTACATGGATATCATTAAGAAGACACAATAATAAGTGGTGTCACCGATTTGGAGCTAGAATGTGCCACTCTCTCATATGCTGGTGGAAGTTCAAAATCATACAACAAATTAAAAAATCAGTCTGATGCTTTCTTATAAAGTTCGATAAATATGCATCTATCCTACAAACCTGTAATTCTATTCTTGAATATTTACCCCCCAAAATGAAAACATAAGTCCACAAAAATCTATATAAATATTCATAGCAGCTTTATGTTTTATAAACTCAAAATAAAAACTATTTCAATGTTTTCATCAAAAGAAAATGAAAACTATTTAAATGGTTTCATCAAAAGAAAATGAAAAAAGAATTTCCAGTATATTTATACAAAGGAATACTATTCATCAACAAGGAACAAGTTACTGATAGTCTCAGAAGCATGAACAAACCTCAAAAATATATTAAGGAAAGAAGCCAGACGTCAAAGTGTATAGTCTGTATGAGTCCATTCATGTGAGTTTATAGAAAACACAATTTATGGTGAAAGAAACCAATAGCATTTGACACTGGCCGTGGGAAGAGGGTAGCAGAGATTGATTGAGCAGCCACACAAGGGAGTTTCTGGGGTGGTGAAAATGTTCTGCATTGTGAGGGCAGTGTGGGCTACACAAGTATATGTATTTATCAAATCTCATCCAGCTACATTTAAGATCTGTGCATCTCACTCTATGTGAAAATATACTCAACTGAAAAACAGAGCAGGTATCTGTTTCAGGTGCTACATCACTTGATACGTCCAGTTGTGTTAAAAACCACTGCCTAACATCCTCAAATGGGGGATCTGGGCTTGAGACTAGGTCACATGTGTAGAGTCTCTACAGAGACCGTGTTGGATTCCCATGCTCCATAATACGTTCCAAGTTTTCTCAGACAGCCACAGGTCATGAATGTGAGGATTCTGAGAGGTTGGAGCAACGTTCTTGGGAGGCATAATGGGGAAGGCATTCTCCAAGATTCCTCCAGCCTGGGGTCTTCACCTGCTGTGCCTCTTACTGCATTGTTTTCTGACTCATCCATAGCCACTTGACCCCTTCAGATCCCATAGTCTACCTAGCCGTCTCCCTTTATGCCTTGGGTCCCGCTGTTCTTTCAACTCATCACCCATTCCTTCAGTCCCAGAGTGGCTGCAGCCAGCAGAGGATGGACTGAGAGCAGGAGAGGAGGTCGTGCCCATGAACCCATCCTAGAGAAGCAGCATCCTGCCTGGGAGCTAGTTTTCCAGGGAAGCTTTTATAAGTCCTGTAGACCCAAACCCACTTGCTCTACCAGATACAGTATTTATAGTAATACTATTTTCATGATTATTTTATATTGCAAATGTAGAGCATTTATGCTACACTATGAGTAAATAGAGTAAGGGGGCTGGCATGGGAATTATATAATCTTGGATGCCACTTCTTCCTTGGGGAAATGTATTTGAGTTCCAACTTACATATTACTATATAGTCTTATAGAGAGAGAGACAAAGAGCTAGACAGACAGAGATATCTTTGTATGTGCATTAAAAAATCTAAGATACATATTTCAAAATCTGTGTCATTTATTCTGGAGGAAAGTATTTGGCAGAAGGTGAAAGGAAGATATTCTGATCCTTTCTTGTACAGACATGTATTATCTCAGTTTTCATAGAGAGCATATACTACTTTTGATGTTTTAAAACAAAAATTATAATCTGTGATGTGTCCACAGTTGTTTAAAAGTTGAAGCTGAAGACCATTTGTGCTTGTGGCAATATTATTGTGGTATAATGGGAATATTTCAAAGGCACTTGTTAACACTTTGTTACAGCAAAATGTAGAGGGCGCTAAGTGCCCTTGAATATTCTCCCATCTCTGGTGACCTGTGTTGTTTTGAAATTTGCAGTGGCCTGACCAGGAACTACTGCAGGAATCCAGATGCTGAGATTCGCCCTTGGTGTTACACCATGGATCCCAGTGTCAGGTGGGAGTACTGCAACCTGACACGATGTCCAGTGACAGAATCGAGTGTCCTCACAACTCCCACAGTGGCCCCGGTTCCAAGCACAGAGGCTCCTTCTGAACAAGGTAAGAAATTTGTGGTTAGACATCTATATACTGGGATGAAAAACCATGGAAAATCTTACTGATGCAGAAGCCTTCAGTGGTACACTGGAGGGTTGGTTGAGGGTCTGCAATGTGGAGGAAAGCCTCAGCGCCCTCTCTGGGGGATCCAGAACTGTGATTTTTGGCACGCTGTGAGGAGGCAGTGTCTTTAGGAAGGGCACGGTGTCTTTAGGAAGGGCACAGACCCGCCAGGGCACTGGACTTACCACTCCCCTGGTTATTAAATGGGTCATTTCAGTGTCCTAGCCAAAATGGATATTCTAACAGCCTGCCAAATATGTGAAGATTTCCAAGCCAATAAGCCTTTCCAGTGATTTAAAGTAGACTTTTTTCATTGCAATCTACAGTTTGCAGTTTCTTAAGAACATGGCCTTTGAGTATGATATCCTAGAGAAACCTAAGGAGACTGCATTATTTTTCTATTGTCCTGGGGCTGCATAGCAGGAGGTAACCAACGAATGCTGTCTCTCCCTGGCCTATCTCAGTCTTTCACAGGCTCTGTTCACCTCAGCTTTGAAGTTAGAAATTTCTAGGTGTTCTTGCCTCTTCTTCTCATGAAACCTGCATTGGCAGTGAGTCTACAGAAGAAGAGGAAGAGAATTCTGCTTTGTTACAATTCAGGACTCTGGGCACTAGAAGATTCCCTATCTCTCCTCCAAGGGAATAAGTTGTTTGTCTCTAACCCTCCTTGAGAAACAATGAGTCTTTGCCTGCACTCCTAAATGTAGGATGATTTCCTGCCCAAATTTTCAAAAGATTAAGCCTTTTGCCTTGGTATGAGCAATGGTCTAGGGAAATGCGCAAGGGTCTTGTGTCGGCCCCTGACTGACCACCAGTCACCTCCTACAGCCTGCACCAAGGAATGCATTGCATTCTGGTCTTCTGCCCTGTGGTTCTCATGAAAACCAGCAGAGATTCATATGATGGAGCTGCACATGAATGTAATTTCCAATGTCCAGCATTCTCCTCTGTTCTTTATCTTTAGATTTAAAAATAATGTTTCTATGAACTTATTAAAATTCTAGAATACTATGAATCTACTGGGTCTTTTCACATCCTTTTGCTACTAGTAGAAAAAAGAATAGTAATAATTTTCAGAGGCTACTGTCCAGTATGTGACATAAATTGTCTCCCATGTTTCTCTGCTCATGCAATTACTGAGTATGATTTATTTTATTTTAATTTCAGCACCACCTGAGAAAAGCCCTGTGGTCCAGGATTGCTACCATGGTGATGGACGGAGTTATCGAGGCATATCCTCCACCACTGTCACAGGAAGGACCTGTCAATCTTGGTCATCTATGATACCACACTGGCATCAGAGGACCCCAGAAAACTACCCAAATGCGTATGTATTTGATTAAAACCATAAGAGGAGCAACAGCCAACTCAAATATTGGTTAGAAGACCCATGCTTTAAGCTCACTTCCTAGGGACAAATTTCTCTTAGACTCACATTTTGGCAAAATGTCTCAGGACCTTTGCTTTTGAGCAAAGAGTCTAAGAGAAGAGAAATTTTAGGCCTGCTATTTTTCCTAATAGTTTTATGGAAGGAGTAGAATATACGGAAGTGGCGAAGTCATATTAATGTAAAGCTCAGAAGATAAATGACCAAAGCTTAAACACAGCACCATTCCACAATGCCCACTAAAAATCAATGTCATCTTTCACTCGTGCAATTCTGTCATTCTAAATTTCAATTCCCGAAGGTTTGTTTGCCATTTTTGTCATGGGTAATAAGTAAAAAAAAAAAAATTAAGATGTGTATATATATATATATATATATATATATACACACACACACACACACACAAACATCTGAATATTTATATATATGTCTGAATATTTATATACTTGTGTATAAAACTTATATTTAAATTTTTGCATAAATTTATATATTTTTAATATTTCATTAAAAATTATATTGTTTCACTATGTATGTCTGAGTATTTTTATATATTTTAATATAACATTTTAAATATTTATATATAAATATTCAGGTATGTAACTGAATATTCATTTACACACACAAATATATGTGTGCATGTGTGTATATATATATATACCCATATATATATATATATATATATATACATATATATATATATATATATATGTATATATATATATATATATATATATACACACACACACACACACACATACATACAGGTATAAACACACTGGGCCTGAAGCACCAGTGGTCTGAAAGGACATGTGTTGCCAGGACTTGAAGAGCAAAAGCAGGAAGGCGGATGAGAGTCAGGAGGTACACAAACGCTGAAAAGTAAAATGGACAAGTACATGGACAAAAAGCAGGTATAAGCATAACAGCCTTTTGGAAGTAAATGACTATAAAATATATGAAAATACTGTTTTCACAAGTTGCACAACAGATAGTAGTGTATTGAGATAATTTAGAACAGAAAACAAATGTGATCAACCCCATAAGTGTGCTGTATTTCATCATGGATTGAAGGAAAAAGAGATGGAGCCCAAGAAGACCACAGCAGTCTTGATGAACTGAGAGACACCAGAGTTTGGGATTACAAAGGCAGCTGGGATTTTCTACACTTGGTAATAATGAGAAAGAATTTGTGGAGATAAAGAGCTACAGTCATGTACCTAGAAGTCACCTCAGTGTAATATAAATCTGCATATGCACAGGGAGTGATTCCACAATGAAAGTAGGACAAAGAACAGCTACTGGGGAAAGAATAACTACAAGGGAACAATGAGTTCAATGGAGATGGCAGAGCTCACAAAGCACTGGGGGATATTTGAGTTCTTACCAGCTAGAAAAGAGACCTCATTGCAAATCTTGGGCATTCAGTAGAGACCCCAGAAAAGCCACTCTTTGGAAACAGAGTTGATGTATTTTAAGAGCAAAATCTACTCCACAAAAATCCTAGCAAAATTGAAAAGCAAGTCAGAAAGACCAAAATCCTCTCAACATAAATTAGTTGCCCATCAGAAGAAAGCTTAACCTCTTCATAGGTAAACAATAAAATCAAATTGCTCAGTTATCTGGCATCCACAATATGTGACATAAATTTAAAAATTTACTAGACATACAAGAAGCATTTAGTGTGATCCATAACCAGGAGAAAAATCATTCAATACAAATAGACCCAGAAATGACAGAAATGATAGAATTAGCAAAAACATTTAAAATATACATATGATCATTTGATCTTGTGATCAGATATCACAAGAGAAGAAAGAGATACTTGAACAGAAAAAATGCCTGAAGCAATGATGGCTGAAAACTTTCCAAATATGAAGAAAAAAAAGCTCACAGATTCAAGAAAACTAATCAATCAGAAATATGATTTTGAAAAGTAAAAATGTATGATTTACTTTGGCAAATCTTCTTGGTTAAATTGTCTAAAATCAAAGAAAGCTAGGAAAATTTTATAAGCCAGAGGAAAAAAGATTGTTTATATAAAGGAACAGTTACACAAATGACTGATGCCTTCTCATCAGAAACAATGAAAGTCAGAAACAATAAAGTAACATCTTTAAAGTAATAGAAGAAAAACCCAAGAGGTGAGGGATCGTGGCAGACAGGAGGCAGGACTAGATTGCAGCTCTGGACAGAGCAGCATGCAGAGGCTCATATTGTGAATTTTAGCCCCATATTGACTGCAAGAACAGACCAGCAATCCTGAGAGGACCCACAGACCGTGTGAAGGAAGCAGACTGCTCCTGCAGGATAAGGGAGACACCCCAAATACTGTGAGTTCCCCAACTGCAGAAGTGGAAAAGGGAGGCCTTACTCCCTCAAACACACCCCACAACTGGAGAAGCTGAAAGTCTGTTTGCAGGAGAAGTTCCCAACTTTACCTGGGCCTCAGTAAATTTAGAGAGCTGAGCCAAGCAAAATATAGGGGTAGAGGAAGCAGCAGAGAAGACCTCAGAGCTTGCTGGATCCCCAAGCAGCTCATTCCTGCCTGGCACCACAGAGATCCATCAGAAGTGTGGCCAAAGGAACAGAGGGTAAAACTCCACATGGAGGACTGCTCTACCTGAACTTTCTAACAATTTGAACAGGGGGAGAAGCCTCCTGGCCAGAACTTGGGGGAGGGCATGAATCTGGTTTGCAGACTTCACAGGTGGGGGAAGGACTAAAGCCCTTTTCTTTCACAGCTGGGAGGTGGAAAGCCTCAGGCAAGTTTTCAAGCCTGACTTTCCCCCCACCTGGAAACAGACTTGGAGCTGTTGCGGGGTTGGGGGCATGGTGGGAGTAAGACCAGCCCTTCAGTTTGCATGGGTGCTGGGTGAGGCCTGTGACTGACAGCTTCCCTCCACTTCCCCGACAACTCAGATGACTCAGCAGAGGCAGCCATAATCCTCCTAGGTACACAACTCCAGTGACCTGGGAACTTCACCCCCACACCATACAGAAGCTTCAGTAAGACGTGCCCAAGGAAAGTCTGAGCTCAGACACGCCTAGTCCCACCCCCAACTGATGGTCCTTCCCTACCCACCCTGGTAGCAGAAGACAAAGAGCATATAATCTTTGGAGTTCTAGGGCCCACCCACCTCTAGTCCCTCTCCACACTAGTATAGCTGATGCAGGAGGCCAACCAGCACAAAAATAGAGCATTAAACCACCAAAGCTAGGAACCCCTATGGAGTCCATTGCACCCTCCTCCACCTCCACCAGAACAGGCACTGGTATCCACAGCTGAGAGACCCATAGATGGTTCACATCACAGGACTCTGTACAGACAGTCCCCAGTACCAGCCCAGAGCTGGGTAGACTTGCTAGGTGGCAAGACCCAGAAGACAGGCAATAATCACTGCAGTTCAGCTCACAGGAAGCCACATCCATAGGAAAAGAGGGAGAGTACTACATCAAGGGAACACCCCATGGGATAAAAACATCTGAACAACAGCCTTCAGCCCTACCTTCCCTCTGACACAGTCTACCCAAATGAGAAGGAACCAGAAAACCAACCCTGGTAATATGACAAAACAAGGCTCATCACACTCCCAGTTCACCAGCAATGGATCCAAACCAAGAAGAAATCCCTGATTTACCTGAAAGAGAATTCAGGAGGTTAGTTATTAAGCTAATCAGGGAGGGACCAGAGAAAGGCAAAGCCCAATGCAAGGAAATCCAAAAAAAAAAAGGTATAAGAAGTAAAAGGTGAAATATTCAACAAAATAGATAGCTTAATAAAAAAACAATAAAAAATTCAGTAGACTTTGGACACACCTTTGGAAATGTGACATGCTCTGGAAAGTCTCAGCAATAGAACTGAACAAGTAGAAAAAATAAATTCAGAGCTCAAAGACAAGGACTTCAAATTAACCCAATCCAACAAAGACAAAGAATAAAGGATAAGAAAATATGAACAAAGCCTTCAAGATGTCTGGGATTATGTTAAATGACCAAATATAAGAATAATCGTGGCTCCTGAGGAAAAAGACAATACTAAAAGCTTGGAAAACATATTTGGGGGAATAACTGGGGAAAACTTACCTGGCCTTGCTGGACACCTAGACATGCAAATACAAGAAACACAAAGAACATGTAAATACAAGCAGCACAAAGAACACCTGGGAAATTCATCACAAAAAGATCTTAGCCTAGGCACATTCTCATCAGGTTATGCAAAGTTAAGACGAAGGCAAGAATCTTAAGAGCTGTGAGACAGAAGCACCAGGTAATGTATAAAGGAAACCCTATCAGATTAACAGCCAGTTTTTCAGCAGGAACTGTACAAGCTATAAAGGATTGGAGCCCTATCATAGCCTCCTCAAACAAAACAATTATCAGTCAAGAATTTTGTATCCAGCGAAAGTAAGCATCATATATGAAGGAAAGATACAGTCGTTTTTGGACAAACAAATGCTAAGAGAATTCACCATTACCAAGTCACCACTAGAAGAACTGCTAAAAGGAGCTCTAAATCTTGAAACAAATCCTAGAAACACATGAAAACAGAATCTCTTTAAAGCATAAATCACACAGGACCTATAAAACAAAAGTACAAGTTAAAAAACAAAAACAAAAAACAAAACCAAAGTACGGAGGCAATAAAGAATATGATGAATGCAGTGGCACCTCACATTTCAATGCTAAAATTGAATCTAAATGGCCTAAATGCTCCACTTAAAGGATACAAAAAGAGTTGGTGGCTGGCAAGATGGCTGAATAGGAACAGCTCCAGTCTGCCGCTCCCCGTGAGATCAACACATAGGGTGGGTCATTTCTGCATTTCCAACCAAGGTACCCGGCTCATCTCATTGGGACTGGTTAGACAGTGGGTGCAGCCCACAGAGGGTGACCTGAAGCAGGGTGGGGTGTCACCTCACCTGGGAAGTGGAAGGGGTCAGGGAACTCCCTCCCCTAGCCAAAGGAAGCCGTGAGGGACTGTGCCGTGAAGACCAGTGCATTCTGGCACAAATACTATGCTTTTCCCACGGTCTTTGCAACCTGAAGACCAGGAGATTCCCTTGGGTGCCTACACCACCAGGGCCCTGGATTTCAAGCCCAAAACTGGGCTGGCATTTGGGCAGACACTAAGCTAGCTGCAGGAGTTTTTTTTCATACCCCAGTGGTCCCTGGAATGCCAGCAAGACAGAACCATTCACCCCCGTGAAGAAAGGGCTGAAGCCAGGGAGCTAAGTGGTCTTTCTCAGTGGATCCCACCCCCATGGAGCCCAGCAAGCTAAGCTCCACTGGCTTGAAATTCTTGCTGCCAGCACAGCAGTCTGAAGTTGACCTGGGACGCTCAAGCTTGGTGGGAGGAGGGGTATCCACAAATACTGGGGCTTGAGTAGGAGGTTTTCCCCTCACAGTGTAAGCAAAACCGCTAGGAAGTTTGAACTGGGCAGGGTGCACTGCAGCTTGGCAAAGCCATTGTAGCAAGAGTGCCTCTCTAGATTCCTCCTCTCTGGGCAGGGCATCTCTGAAAGAAAGGCAGCAGCCCCAGTCAGAAGCTTATAGATAAAACTCCCATCTCCCTGGGACAGAGCAACTGGAGGAAGGGGTGGCTGTGAGTGCAGCTCCAGCAGACTTAGTTTCCTGCCTGCCAGCTCTGAAAAGAGCACCAGATCCCCCAACACAGCACTAGAGCTCTGATAAGGGACAGACTGCCTCCTCAAGTGGGTCCTGGTTTCAGAAGATAATAAGAAACTCCTCTGAGCTAAAGGAGCATGTTCTAACACAATGCAAGGAAGCTAAGAACCTTGAAAAAGGTCAGAGGAATTGCTAACTACAGTAAGCAGTTTAGAGAAGAACATAAATGACCTTAGGGAGCTGAAAAACACAGCACGAGAACTTCATGACACATACACAAGTATCAATAGCAAAATCGATCAAGTGGAAGAAAGGATATCAGAGATTGAAAATCAACTTAATGAAGTAAAGCGTGAAAACAAGATTAAGGAATAAAGAATGAAAAGGAATGAACAAATCCTCCAAGTATGGGACTATGTGAAAAGATTGAACCTACGTTTGATTGGTGTACCTGAAAGTGATGGGAGAATGGAACCAAGTTGGAAAACACTCTTCAGGATATTATCCAGGAGAACTTCCCCAACCTAGCAAGACAGGCCAACATTCAAATTAAGGAAATACAGAGAATACCACATTCAAATTCAGGAAATACAGAGAACACCACAAAGATACTCCTCAAGAAGAGCAACCTGAAGACACATAATCGTCAGATTCACCAAGGTTGAAATGAAGGAAAAAAATGTTGAGGGCAGCCAGAGAGAAAGTTTGGGTTACCCACAAAGGGAACCCCATCAGACTAACAGTGGATCTTCCTGCAGAAACTCTACAAGCCAGAAGAGAGTGGGAGGCCAATATTCAACATTCTTTTTTACTATTATTATACTTTAAGTTCTAGGGTACATGTGCACAAGGTGCAGGTTTGTTACATATGTATACATGTGCCATGTTGGTGTGCTGCACCCATTAACTCTTCATTTACATTAGGTATATCTCCTAATACTATCCCTCCCCACTCCCCCCATCCCATGACAGGCCCCGGTGTGTGATGTTCCCCACTCTGTGTCCATGTACTCTCATTGTTCAATTCCCACCTATGAGTGAGAACATTCGGTGTTTGGATTTCTGTCCTTGTGATAGTTTGCTGAGAATGATGGTTTCCAGCTTCATCCACATCCCTACAAAGGACATGAAGTCATCCTTCTTTATGGCTGCATAGTATTCCATGGTGTATATGTGCCACATTTTCTTAATCCAGTCTACCATTGATGGACGTTTGTGTTGGTTCCAAGTCTTTGCTATTGTGAATAGTGCCGCAATAAACATATGTGTGCATGTGTCTTTATAGCAGCATGATTTATAATCCTTTAGATATATATCCAGTAATTGTATGGCTGTGTCAAATGGTATTTCTAGTTCTAAATCCTTGAGGAATCACCGCACTGTCTTCCACAATGGTTGAACTAGTTTACAGTCCCACCACCAGTGTAAAAATGTTCCTATTTCTCCACATCCTCTCTAGCATCTGTTGTTTCCTGACTTTTTAATGATCACCATTCTAACTGGTATGAGATGGTATCTCATTGTGGTTTTGATTTGCATTTCTCTGATGGCCAGTGATGGTGAGCACTTTTTCATGTGTCTCTTGACTGCATAAAAGTTTTCTTTTGAGAATTGTCTGTTAATATCCTTTGCCAACTTTTTGATGGGGTTGTTTGATTTTTTTTCTTGTAAATTTGTTTATGTTCTTTGTAGATTCTGGATATTAGCCCTTTGTCAGATGGGTAGATTGTAAAAATTTTCTCCCATTCTGTAGCTTGCCTGTTCATTCTGAGGGTAGTTTCTTTTGCTGTGCAGAAGCTCTTTAGTTTAATTAGATCCCATTGGTCAATTTTGGCTTTTGTTGCTATTGCTTTTGGTGATTTAGTCATGAAGTCCTTGCCCATGCCTATGTCCTGAATGGTATTGCTTAGGTTTTCTTCTAGGGTTTATATGGTTTTAGGTCTAACATTTAAGTCTTTAATCCATCTTGAATTAATTTTTATATAAGGTGTAAGGAAGGGATCCAGTTTCAGCTTTCTACATATGGCTAGGCAGTTTTCCCAGCACCATGTATTAAATAGGGAAACCTTTCCCTATTTCTTGTTTTTGTCAGGTTTGTCATAGATCAGATGGTTGTAGATGTGTGGTATTATTTCTGAGGGCTCTGTTCTGTTCCATTGGTCTATATCTCTGTTTTGGTACCAGTACCATGCTGTTTTGGTTACTGTAGCCTTGTAATGTAGTTTGAAGTCAGGCAGAGTGATGCCTCCAGCTTTGCTTTTTTGGCTTAGGATTGTCTTGGCAATGCATGCTCTTTTTTGTTCCATATGAACTTTAAAGTAGTTTTTTCCAATTCTGTGAAGAAAGTCATTGGTAGCTTGATGGGGATGGCATTGAATCTATAAATTACCTTAGGCAGTATGGCCATTTTCACAATATTGATTCTTCCTATCCATGAGCATGGAATGTTCTTCCATTTGTTTGTGTCCTCTTTTATTTCATTAAGCAGTGGTTTGTAGTTCTCCTTGAAGAGGTCCTTCCCATCCCTTGTAAGTTGGATTCCTAGGTATTTTATTCTCTTTGAAGCAATTGTGAATGGGAGTTCATCCATGTCCCTACAAAGGACATGAAGTCATGTATGGGAATGCTTGTGATTTTTGCACATTGATTTTGTATCTTGAGACTTTGCTGAAGTTGCTTATCAGCTTAAGGAGATTTTGGTCTGAGAAGATGGGGTTTTCTAAATATACAATCATGTCATCTGCAAACAGGGACAATTTAACTTCCTCTTTTCCTAACTGAATACCCTTTATTTCCTTCTCCTGCCTAATTGCCCTGGCCAGAACTTCCAACACTATGTTGAATAGGAGTGGTGAGAGAGGGCATCCCTGTCTTGTGCCAGTTTTCAAAGGGAATGCTTCCAGTTTTTGCCCATTCAGTATGATATTGGCTATGGGTTTGTCATAAATAGCTCTTATTATTTTGAGATATGTCCCATCAATACATAGTTTATTGAGAGTTCAGCATGGAGAGCTGTTGAATTTTGTCAAAGGCCTTTTCTGCATCTATTGAGATAATCATGTGGTTTTTGTCTTTGGTTCTGTTTATATGATGGATTACATTTATTGATTTGCATATGTTGAACCAGCCTTGCATCCCAGGGATAAAGCCAACTTGATCATGGTGGATAAGCTTTTTGATGTGCTGCTGGATTCGGTTTGCCAGTATTTTATTGAGGATTTTTGCATCAATGTTCATCATGGATGTTGGTCTAAAATTCTCATTTTTGTTGTGTCTCTGCCAGGATTTGGTATCAGGATGATGCTGGCCTCATAAAATGAGTTAGGGAGGATTCCCTCTTTTTCTATGATTGGAATAGTTTCAGAAGAATTGGTACCAGCTCCTCTTTGTATCTGTGGTAGAATTCGGCTATGAATCTCTCCTGGACTTTTTTTGGTTGGTAGGCTCTTAATTATTGCCTCAATTTCAGAGCCTGTTATTGGTCTATTCAAGGATTCAATTTCTTTCTGGTTTAGTCTTGGTAGGGTGTATGTGTCCAGGAATTTTTCCATTTCTTCTAGATTTTCTAGTTTATTTGCACAGAGGTGTTTATAATATTCTCTGATGGTAGTTTGTATTTCTGTGGGATTGGTAGTGATATCCCCTTTATCATTTTTTATTGCATCTATTTGATTCTTCTCTCTTTTCTTCTTTATTAGTCTTGCTAGTGGTCTATCAATTTTGTTGATCTTTTCAAAAAACCAGCTCCTGGATTCATTGATGTTTTGAAGGTTTTTTTGTGTCTCTATCTCCTTCAGTTCTGCTCTGGTCTTAGTTATTTCTTGCCTTCTGCTAGCTTTTTAATGTGTTTGCTCTTGCTTCTCTAGTTCTTTTAATGGTGATGTTAGGGTGTCAATTTTAGATCTTTCCTGCTTTCTCTTGTGGGCATTTAGTGCTGTAAATCTCCCCCTACACACTGCTTTAAATGTGTCCCAGAGATTCTGGTATGTTGTGTCTTTGTTGTCATTGGTTTCAAAGAATATCTTTATTTCTGCCTTCATTTCGTTACATACCCAGTAGTCACTCAGGTGCAGGTTGTTCAGTTTCCATATAGTTGAGCAGTTTTTAATGAGTTTCTTAATCCTGAGTCCTAGTTTGATTGCACTGTGGTCTGAGAGACAGTTTGTTATAATTTCTGTTCTTTTACATTTGCTGAGGAATGCCTCACTTCCAACTATCTGGTCAATTTCAGAATAAGTGCGATGTGGTGCTGAGAAGAATGTATATTCTGTTGATTTGGGGTGGAGAGTTCTGTAGATGTCTATTAGGTCTGCTTGGTGCAGAGCTGAGTTCAATTCCTGGATATCCATGTTAACTTTCTGTCTCATTGATCTGTCTAATGTTGACAGTGGGGTGTTAAAGTCTCCCATTATTATTGTGTGGGAGTCTAAGTCTCTTTGTAGGTCTCTAAGGACTTGCTTTATGAATCTAGGTGCTCCTGTATTGGGTGCATATATATTTAGGATAGTTAGCTCTTCTTGTTAAATTGGTCCCTTTACCATTATGTAATGGCCTTCTTTGTCTCTTTTGATCTTTGTTAGTTTAAAGTCTGTTTTATCAGAGACTAGGATTGCAACCCCTGCTTTTTTTGTTGTTTTCCATTTGCTTGGTAGATCTTCCTCCATCCCTTTATTTTGAGCCTATGTGTGTCTCTGCACGTGAGATGTGTCTTCAGAATACAGCACACTGATGGATCTTGACTCTTTATCCAATTTTCCAGTCTGTGTCTTTTAATTGGAGCATTTAGCCCATTTACATTTAAGGTTAATATTTTTATGTGTGAATTTGATCCTGTCATCATGATGTTCGCTGGTTATTTTGCTCATTAGTTGATGCAGTTTCTTCCTAGCATCGATGGTTTTTACAATTTGGCATGTTTGTGCAGTGGCTGATACCGATTGTTTCTTTCCATGTTTAGTGCTTCCTTCAGGAGCTCTTGTAAGGCAGGCCTGGTGGTGACAAAATCTCTCAGCATTTGCTTGTCTGTAAAGGATTTTATTTCTCCTTCACTTATGAAGCTTAGTTTGGCTGGATATGATATTCTCAGTTGAAAATTCTTTTCTTTAAGAATGTTGAATATTGGCTGCCACTCTCTTCTGGCTTGTAGAGTTTCTGCTGAGAGATCTGCTGTTAGTCTGATGGGCTTCCCTTTGTGGGTAACCCGACCTTTCTGGTGAATCTGACAATTATGTGTCTTGGAGTTACTCTTCTCGAGGAGTATTTTTGTGGCATTCTCTGTATTTCCTGAATTTGAATGTTGGCCTGCCTTTGTAGGTTGGGGAAGTTCTCCTGGATAATATCCTGAAGAGTGTTTTCCAACTTGGTTCCATTCTCCTCGTCACTTTCAGGTACACCAAGCAGATGTAGATTTGGTCTTTTCACATAGTCCCATATTTATTGGAGGCTTTGTTCATTTCTTTTTACTCCTTTTTTTCTCTAAACTTCTCTTCTCGCTTCATTTCATTCATTTGATCTTTAATCACTGATACCCTTTCTTCCACTTGATTGAATCAACTACTGAAACTTGTTCATGTGTCACGTAGTTCTCGTGCCATGGTTTTCAGCTCCATTAGATCATTTAAGGTCTTCTCTATGCTGTTTATTTTAGTCTGCCATTCATCTAAACTTTTTCAAGGTTTTTAGCTTCTTTGCAATGGGTTCGAACATCCTTCTTTAGCTCGGAGAAATTTGTTATTACAGATCGTCTGAAGCCTTCTTCTCTCAACTCATCAAAGTCATTCTCTGTCCAGCTTTGTTCTGTTGCTCGTGAGGAGCTGCGTTCCTTCGGAGGAGAAGAGGCACCCTGATTTTTAGAATTTTCAGCTGTTCTGCTCTGGTTTCTCCCCATCTTTGTGGTTTATCTACCTTTGGTTCTTGATGATGGTGATGTACAGATGGGGTTTTGGTGTGGATGTCTTTTCTGTTTGTTAGTTTTCCTTCTAACAGTCAGGACCCTCAGCTGCAGGTCTGTTGGAGTTTGCTGGAGGTCCACTCCAGTCCCTGTTTGCCTGGGTATTACCAGTGGAGGCTGCAGAACAGCAAATATTACAGAACAGCAAATGTTGCTGCCTGATTCTTCCTCTGGAAGCTTCATCTCAGAGGGGCACCCAGCTGTATGAGGTGTCAGTTGGCCCCTACTGGGAGGTGTCCCCCAGTTAGGCTACTCGGGGGTCACGGACCCACTTGAGGAGGCAGTCTGTCCATTCTCAGATCTCAAACTCTCTGCTGGGAGAACCACTACTCTCTTCAAAGCTGTCAGACAGGGATGTTTAAGTCTGCAGAAGTTTCTGCTGCCTTTTGTTCAGCTATGCCCTGCCCCCAGAGGTGGAGTCTACAGAGGCAGGCAGGTCTCCTTGAGCTGTGGTGGGCTCCACCCAGTTTGAGCTTCCTGGTCGCTTTGTTTACCTACTCAAGTCTCAGCAATGGCAGACGCCCCTCCCCCAGCTTTGCTGCCGCCTTGCAGTTCGGTCTCAGACTACTGTGCTAGCAGTTCAATCTCAGACTGCTGTACTAGCAGTGAGCAAGGCTCTGTGGGCATGGGACCCTCTGAGCCATGTGCAGGATATAATCTCCTGGTGTGCCGTTTGCTAAGACCATTGGAAAAGTGCAATATTAGGGTGGGAGTGTCCCGATTTTCCGGGTACATCTGTCATGGCTTCCCTTGGCTAGGAAAGGGAATTCCCTGACCCCTTACACTTCCCGGGTGAGGCAATATCCCGCCTTGCTTCGGCTCACTCTCCGTGGGCTGCACCCACTGTCTGACAAGCCCCGGTGAGATGAACCCAGTACCTCAGCTGGAAATGCAGAAACCACCCATCTTCTGCTTTGCTCATGCTGGGAACTGTGGACTGGAGCTGTTCCTATTCGGCCATCTTGAAACCTCCCCTCTCTCACGATCACAAGGTCCCACAATAGGCCGTCTGCAGGCTGAGGAGCAAGAAAAGCCAGTCTGAATTCCAAAACTGAAGAAATTGGAGTCTGATGTTCAAGGGCAGGAAACATCCAGTGCCAAAGAAAGATGTAGAATATTCAACATTCTTAAAGAAAATAATTTTCAACCTAGAATTTCATATCCAGCCAAACTAAGCTTTATAACAAAGGAGAAGTAAAATCCTTTACAAACAAGCAAATGCTGAGGAATTTTGTCAACACCAGGCCTGCCTTACAAGAGGTCCTGAAGAAAACACTAAATATGGAAAGGAAAAACCAGTAACAGCTACTGCAAAAACATACCAAATTGTAAACACCATCAACACTATAAAGAAACTGCATCAACTAATGGGCAAAATAGCCAGCTAGCATCATAATGACAGGATCAAATTCACACATAACAATATTAACCTTAAATGTAAATGGGCTAAATGCCCCAATTAAAAGACACAGACTGGGAAATTGAATAAAGAGTCAAGACCCATTGGTTTGCTGTGTTCAGAAGACCCATCTCAGGGTGAAAAGACATACATGGGCTCAAAATAAAGAAATGAAGGAATATTTACCAAGCAAATGGAAAGAAAAAAAAAGCAGCGGTTGCAATCTTAGTCTTTGATGAAACAGACTTTAAACCATCAAAGATCAAAAGAGACAAAGGAGGGCATTACCTAATGGTAAAAGTATCAATGCAACAAGAAGATCTGACTGTCCTACTTATATATGCACCCAATACAGGAGCACCCAGATTAATAAAGCAAGTTCTTAGAGACCTACAAAGAGACTTAGACTTCCACACAAAAATAGTGGGAGACTTTAACACCCCACAGCCAATATTAGATCGACGTGACAGAAAATTAACAAGGATATTCAGGACGTGAATTCAGCTCTGGACCAAGCTGACCTAATAGACATCTACAGAACTCGACACCACAAATCAACAGAATATACATTCTTCTCAGCACCACATTGCACTTATTCTAAAATTGACCACATAATTGGAAGTAAAACACTTCTCAGCAAATGCCGTAGAATGGAAATCATAACAAACAGTCTCTCAGACCAAAGTGCAATCAAACTAGAACTCAGGATTAATAAACTCACTCAAAACCACACAACTATATGGAAACTGAACAACCTGCTCCTGAATTACTACTGGGTAAATAACAAAATTAAGGCAGAAGTAGATAAGTTCTTAGAAACCAAAGAGAACAAAGACACAATGTGCCAGAATCTCTGGTACACAGCTAAAGCCATGTTTAGAGGGAAATTTATAGCACTAAATGCCCACAGGAGAAAGCGGGAAAGATCTAAAATCAACACCCTAACATCACAATTCAAAGAACCAGAGAAGCAAGAGCAAACAAATACAAAAGCTAGCAGAAGACAAGAAATAACTAAGATCAGAGCAGAACTGAAGGGGATAAAGACACGAAAACCCTTTAAAAAATTAATAAATCCAAGAGCTGGTTTTTTGAAAAGATTAACAAAATACATAGAAGCCTAGCCAGACTAATAAAGAAGAAAATAGAGAAGAATCAAATAGACACAATAAAGAATAATAAAGGGGATATCACCAATGATGCCACAGAAATACAAACTACCATCAGAGAATACTTTAAACACCTCTATGCAAATAAAATAGAAAATCTAAAAGAAATGGATAAATTCCTGGACACATACACCCTCCCAAGACTAAACCAGGAAGAAGTCAAATCCCTGAATAGACCAATAACAAGTTCTGAAATCGAGGCAGTAATTAATAGCTTACCAACCAAAAAAAGCCCAGACCAGAGGGATTAACAGTCAAATCCTAACAGAGGTACAAAGAAGAGCTAGTACTATTCCTTCTGAAACTATTCCACACAATAGAAAAAGAGGGACTCCTGCCTAACTCATTTTATGAGGCCAGCATCATTCTGATACCAAAACCTGGCAGAGACACAACAAGAAAAGAAAATTTCAGGCCAACATCCCTGATGAACATCAATGTGAAAATCCTCAATAAAATACTGGCAAACTGAATCCAGCAGCACATCAAAAAGCTTATCCACCATGATCAAGTTGGCTTCATCCCTGGGATGCAAGGCTGGTTCAACATATTCAAATCAATAAACATAATCCATCACATAAACAGAACCAATGACAAAAACCGTATGATTATCGCAATAGACGCAGAAAAGGCCTTTGATAAAATTCAATACCCAATCATGCTAAAAACTCTTAATAAACTAGGTATTGATGGAGCATGTCTCAAAATAATAAGAGCTACTTATGACAAATGCATAGCCAATATCATACTGAATGAGCAGAAGCTGGAAGCATTCCCTTTGAAAACCAGCACAAGACAAGGATGCCCTCTCTCACCACTCCTATTCAACATAGTATTGGAAATTCTGTCCAGGGCAATCAGGCAAGAGAAAGAAATAAAGGTATTCAAGTGGGAAGAGAGGGAGTCAAATTATTTCTCTTTGCAGATGACATGATTGTATATTTAGAAAACTCTATCATCTCAGCCCAAAATCTCCTTAAGCTGATAAGCAACTTCAGCAAAGTCTCAGGATACAAAATCAATGTGCAAAAATCACAAGCATTCCTATACACCAATAAGAGACACAGAGCCAAATCCTGAGTGAATTCCCATTCACAATTGCTACAAAGAGAATAAAATATACCTAGGAATCCAACTTACAAGGGATGTGAAGGACCTCTTCAAGGAGAACTACAAACCACTGCTCAAGGAAATAAGATAGGACACAAACAAATGGAAAAACATTCCATGCTAATGGATTGGAAGAATCAATATTGTGAAAATTGCCATACTGCCCAAAGTGATTTATAGATTCAATGTTATCCCCATCAAGCTACCATTGATTTCTTCACATAATTAGAAAAAACTACTTTCAATTTCATATGGAATAGAAAAAGGGCCTGTATATCCAAGACAACCTAAGCAAAAAGAACAAAGCTGGAGGCATCATGCTATCTGACTTCAAAATATACTACAAGGCTACAGTAACAAAAACAGCATGGTATGGTACTGGTACCAAAACAGATATATAGACCAATAGAACAGAACAGAGGCCTCAGAAATAACACCACACATCTACAACTATTGGATCTTTGACAAACTGGACAAAAATAAGCAATGGGGAAAGGATTCCCTATTTAATAAATGGTGTTGGGAAAACTGGCTAGCCATATGCAGAAAACTGAAACTGGATCCCTTCCTTACACCTTATACACAAATTAACTCAAGATAGATTAAAGAATTAAATGTAAGACCTAAAACCATAAAAACCCTAGAAGACACTTTGGGAGGCCGAGGTGGATGGATCACGAGGTCAGGAGATCGAGACCATCTTGGCTAACACAGTGAAAGCCCATCTCTACTAAAAATACAAAAAATTAGCTGGGTGTGGTCGTGGGCACCTGTAGTCCCAGCTACTTGGGAGGCTGAGGCAGGAGAATGGCATGAGCTGAGGAGGTTGAGCTTGCAGCAAGCCAAGATTGTGCCACTGCACTCCAGCCTGGGCAACAGAGTGAGACTCCATCAAAAAAACAAAAACAAAAACAAAAAATCAAACCCTAGAAGAAAACATAGGCAATACCATTCAGGACATAGGCATGGGAGAAGACTTCATGACTAAAACAGCAAAACCAATGGCAACAAAAGCCAAAATTTACAAATCAGATCTAATTAAAATAAAGAGCTTCTGCACAGCAAAAAACTCTCATCAGAGTGAAAAAGCAACCTATGGAGAAAAATTCTGTGGTCTAGCCATCTGACAAAGGGCTAATGTTTAGAATGTACAAGCAACTTAAACAAATGTACAAGAAAAAAAAAACAACCCCATCAAAAAGTGGGCAAAGGATATGAACAGACACTTCTGACAGGAAGACCTTTATGTGGCTGACAAACATGAAAAAAGCTCATCATCACTGTTAATTAGAGAAATGCAAATCGAAACCACAATGAGATACCATCTCATGCCCGTTAGAATGGCGATCATTAAAAAGTCAGGAAACAACAGATGCTGAAGAGGATGTGTGGAGAAAGAGGAACACATTTACACTGTTGGTGGGAGTGTAAATTAGTTCAACCATTGTGGAAGACAGTGCGGTGATTCCTCAAGGATCTAGAACCAGAAGTACCATTTGACCCAGCAATCCCATTACTGGGTATATACCCAAAGGATTATAAATCATTCTACAATAAAGACACATGCACACGTATGTTTATTGTAGCACTATTCACAATAGCAAAGACTTGGAACCAACTGAAATGCCCATCAATGATAGACTGGATAAAGAAAATGTGGCACATATACACTGTGGAATACTATGCAGCCATAAAACAGGATGAGTTCATGTCTTTTGCAGGGACATGGATGAAGCTGGAAACCATCATTCTCAGCAAACTAACACAAGAACAGAAAACCAAACACCATATGTTCTCACTCATAAGTGTGAGTTGAACAATGAGAACACATGGACACAGGAAGGGGAACATCACACACAGGGGCCTGTTGGGGAGTTGAGGCTAGGGGAGGGATTGGATTAGGAGAAATACCTAATGTAGATGATGGGTTGCTGGGTGCAGCAAACCACCATGACACGTGTATACCTATGTAACAAACCCACACATTCTACACATGTATCTCAGAACTTAAAGTATAATAATAATAAGATACAGAACTGCAGAATGAATAAGAACTCACCAACCATCTGCTGCCTTCAGGAGACTCATTTAAGACATAAGGACTCACATAAACTTAAAGTAAATGGGTGGAAATAATAATAAGTGGTGTCACTGATGTGGAGGTAGATTATAAAACTCTTATCATATGCTGGTGGAAGATCAAAATGATAAAACGAATTAAAAAATCAGTCAGATGGTTTCTTAAAAAGTTCCATCAATATGCCTCTATCTTACAAACCTGCAATTCTATTCCTGAATCTTTATCCCAAGGAAATGAAAAAGTAAGTCCACAAAGAGTTCTATATGAATATTTATAGGAGCTTTATTTATTATAATTCAAACTGTAAAAATAATTTCAATGTTCATCAATAACAAAATGAAAAAATAATTTGCAACCTACTGGTACACTTGAATACTATTCAGCACTGAGTATCTTAAATAGCATGGATGGAGCTCAAAAATATACTCAGGAAAGAAGCCATGTATATTCTGTATGAGTTCATTTACATGAGATCATTTACATTTCCTCCAAAAGAGGAAAAACTAATTTCTGTTGAAAGAAACCAATGTATTTGCCTCTGGCAGTGGTAAGGGGGTAGCACAGATTAATTGGGTAGGGACTCAAGAGAGTTTCTGGGGTCACAGAAATGTTCCGTGTGGTGATGGGAGTTTGGGCTCCACAGGTATAGGTGTTGATCCAAAATCATCAAAAAAACAACATTGCAGATCTGTGCATCTCACTCTGTGGGAAAGTATATCTCAACTGTAAAAAGGGCAGAAATTGCTTTTAAACGCTCAGCCTTTTAGCACATCCAGTTGCTTGGAGAACCAGCTTACTCAAATGGGGGTCTAGGCTGGAGACTAGGTCACAGGCATAGAGTCTCTAAACTTTCCCATGGCACATAATACGTTTCAGGTTTTCTCAGAGAGCTGCAGGTTAGTAATCTGAGGATTCTGACAAGTTGGGTCAACGTTCCTAGGAGGCATGAATGGGAGTGCATTCTCTAAGATCCCTCCACCCCAGGGTCCTTGCTTTCTGTGCCTCTTACTCCATTGTTTTCTGACTCCTCTGTAGCCACTCGACCTCTTCAGATCCCATTGTCTACCCAGCCATCGCCCTTTATGACTTGGGTCCCACTGTTCTTTCATCTCATCCTCCATTCCCTCAGTTTCGGAGTGGCTGCCGCTAGCAGAGGATGGACTGAGAGCAGGAGAGGTGGTCCTGCCCAGGAACCCATCCTAGAGAAATGGCATCCTGTCTGGGAGCTAGTTTTTTAGGGCAGGTTTTATAAGTCTTGTAAAGCCAGACACACTTGATCTACCTGGTATGTTATTTACAGTAATACTATTTTCATAATTGCTTTTCACTCTAAAAGTAGAGCCTTTTAGCTACACTGTGAGTAAATAAAGGGGCTGGCCTGGGAATGGTATCATGTTGGATGTTGTTTCTTCCCTGAAGTAATATATATCAGTTACAATTTACATGTTACTGCAGAGTCCTAGAGAGAGACACAGAGAATGAGACAGATACCAATACATTTTTATGTGCATTAAAAAAATCTAAGGCCAGGCGCAGTGGCTCACACCTGTAATCCCAGCACTTTGGGAGGCCGAGGTGGGTGGATCACGAGGTCAGGAGATTGAGACCATCCTGGCTAACACGGTGAAACCCTGTCTCTACTAAAAATACAAAAAATTAGCCAGGCGTGGTGGCGGGCGCCTGTAGTCCCAGCTACTCAGGAGACTGAGGCAGGAGAATGGCTTGAACCCAGGAGGCAGACCTTGCAGTGAGCCGAGATTGCGCCACTGCACTCCAGTCTGGGCGACAGAGCGAGACTCCGTCACAAAAAAAAAAAAAAATCTAAAATGCACTCTTCAAAATCTATGTCATTTATTCTGGAGGAATGCAGTTGGCAGAAGGAGGAAGATATTCCGAATTTTTCTTGTATACATTTATGTATGATCTCAGTTTTTTTATGGATCATAGACCAATTTTGATATTTTAAAATAAAAATTATAATCTATCTTGGAAATTTACATGGTTCTTTAGAACTTGAGGACCGTTTTTGCTTTTCGGAATATTATTGTACCTAAAATGGGAATATTACAACGTCACTTTTTAACACTTTGTTATAACAAAGTTTAGACAGCGCTGGGTGCCCCTGAATTTTTTCCCGCCTCTTGTGACCTGTGTTGTTTTGGAATTTGCAGTGGCCTGACCGAGAACTACTGCAGGAATCCAGATTCTGGGAAACAACCCTGGTGTTACACAACCGATCCGTGTGTGAGGTGGGAGTACTGCAATCTGACACAATGCTCAGAAACAGAATCAGGTGTCCTAGAGACTCCCACTGTTGTTCCAGTTCCAAGCATGGAGGCTCATTCTGAAGCAGGTAAGAAGTCTGTGGCCAGATATCTACACATTTGAACATTGGGATGAAAAGAGATGGAAAATCTGACTGATGCAGAAGCCTTCCATGCTACACAGAAACTTGAGGGTATGGCAGGTGGAAAGAAGCCTCAGCACTCTCTCTGGTGGAGCAATTTTTGGCGCAACGTGCGTGGGCGGTGACTTCAGGAATGGTGCAAACCCACCTGGGCACTTGACTTACCACTCACTTTGTTATGAAAGGGGTTATCTCGGTGTTCCAGACAAAATTCCAATTCTAACATCAGGCCAAATTTGTGCCAAATTTCACACTAGTGAGTGTTTCCAGGCATTTATTAAAATGGACAGTGTTCATTGCAATCTTCAGCATTGCAGTTGCTGAGGTATGTGGCCGCTGAGTTTGTCATCCTGGGGAAACCTAATATGATGATATTTATTCCATCTAATCCTGGGGCTATTTGGCAGTAAATACCACAGAATACACTATTTCTCTGGCTTATTTCAGTCTTAGGTAGGCTCTGCACACCTATGCTTGGAAGGCAGGAATTTCTTGGTGTTCTTGTGCCTTCTTCTCATGGAACGTGCATCTTTGGTGTGTGTTGAGAGGAAGGGTAGTAGACTTCTGCTTTGTTGCAATGCAGGATGCTGGAACAAGAGGATTCCCTGTCTCTACTGTAAGGGAATAAGATTTTAGCCTCCATCCTTCTCTAAGAAGCAATGTGTCTTTGCCTCCAAGTACTAGATGCAGGACCATGAACTGCCCCGTCCACCAGAAGCTTAAGGCTTTGGCTTTTCAGGAGCAATCATCTAGGGAACTGTGCAGGGTTTTCATGTCTGTCCCCTACTGACAGCCAATCACCATACAGCCTGCATAACCTAATCCATCATCGTCTGGTTTCCTGCCTCATTGTTTTCATGAACAACCAGTAGAGAGCCATACGAAAGAGCTTGCACATGAGTCTTTGTTCCAATTGTAAGAGCACTGATAGGTCCTTTTCCCACCAGGTTTTGAATATAAAATTTCTAAGAACTTATTAAAATATTAGAATGTTATTAATCTATTGTTTTTGCTTCAGCATGTCCTTCTGCTTGTGAGTATACTAAAGAGAACAGTCATAATTCTGAAACTACTGTCCTGTTTGTGTCATAAATTGCTTCACATGTTTCTGCATACTAGTAGTTACTCAGCTTGATTTTGTCTATTTTCAGCACCAACTGAGCAAACCCCTGTGGTCCGGCAGTGCTACCATGGTAATGGCCAGAGTTATCGAGGCACATTCTCCACCACTGTCACAGGAAGGACATGTCAATCTTGGTCATCCATGACACCACACCGGCATCAGAGGACCCCAGAAAACTACCCAAATGAGTATGTCTTTGATGTTACTTGTAAGAGGAGCAACAGCCAACTTAAGTTCCTCCTAGAAGAGCCTTGCTTCAAGCTAACTTGTTAGGACAAATTTCCCTTAGACCCAGAAGGTGTGTCAAAATGTCCAGACAACTTTGCTTTTGATCAAAGAGTCTGAGAGAATAGGTATTTTAGGCTTGCTATCTTTTCTAATAGTCTGATGGAAGCAGAAGGCTACATGGAGCTGATGAGGTCTTTTTAATATAAAGCTCAAGAGATCAAATGATCAAATACTTAGAGTGCCATTCTACAAGGCTCATAAAAGATCAATGCACTCTTTCACCCATGCAATTCTATCATTCTAACCTCCCTTCTCTGAAATGAAGGCTTTTTGCCATTTTTGTCATGGGTCACAAGTAAATAATTCACATGTATATGAGTATATATATAACCAGGTGTGTTTATTCAGACTAGTATGTATATATATACATATATATGTTCATATAAGTTAGTATTCATATATATGTTCATATATATATGTTCATACAGACTAGTATTCATATATATATACATATATATATACACACACATATATATATATATATATATGTTCTAGGGAAACATGCAAGGTTTTTATGTCTGTCCCTGACTGATGACCAAATACCCTATAGCCTGCACAGCTGCAAGCTGTATAGCCATACAATTTGCAGGACACACACACATACACACACACACACACACACACACACACTAACATATAATATAATATAATATAATATAATATAATATAATATAATATAATATAATTAATATATATAAACCTGTGTGAACACACTGGGTTCTAAGCTCCAGTTTTCTGAAGGGATATGGGTTGCCAGGAGAGGAAGAGCAAAAGCAAGAATGTAGATGAGAATTAGGAAGTAAACAGATATGGAGATTAAAATGGGCAGGTACATGGACAAAAAACCAGGTCTGACAAAAACTGGCTTTCTGCCATAAATGACTATAAAAGATATTAAAAAACACTTTCCACATGTTGGACAAGAGACAGTACAGGACTGAGATAATTTAGAAAAGGAAATGAATGAGCGCAACTCCGTAACTATTATGACTTTCTTCCTGGAGAACCTTCCTGGACTGAAGGGCAAGGAATTGGAGCCAAAGCCAACCACAGCAGTCTTGCTGAACTGAGGAAAGAGACTGGAGTTTGGGATAGCTAAGAAAATGTGTATTTTCTATGCTAGGTAATAATGAGAAAGAATTTGTGGTGAAAAGGAGCTGAAGGAATATGCATGGAAGTCTAATATAAACTGCATATGCACAGGGAGAAATTCTACAAAGTGGGACAGAGAACCACTACTGGGGAAAGGACAAATTCAGGGAAACAGTGAGCTCAATGGTGACGCCAGAGCTCACGTAGCACTGGGGGATACCGGGGTTCTGATCAGCCCGAGGAGAGACACCTCATTGAACATCTCGGGCATTCAGTAGAGACCCCAGAAAAGTCATACTTTAGGAGTAGGATTTATGCCTTCTTAGAATAAAGACTACCCCAGAAACACCCTAGTAAAGCTTAAAAACCAAGTCTAAAAGGACCCAAATGATCTCCAAGTAAATTAACTGCCTGACAGAAGAAAACTCAACCATCACTGGAGGTAAATAACATGATTACAGTGCTCTGTAATGTTGCATTCACAAGGAGTGACATCATTTAAAAATTTATGAGGCAGGAAAAAGCAATTAGTGTGATCCATAACTAGGAGAAAAACCAGTCAATACAAATAGACCAAGAAATAGTAGAAACGATGGAATTGACAAAGAAATTAAAACTGTATATATGATAATTGTGTTCAAAGATTTAAAGAAAACATGAACATGAGGGAAACAAATGCAGAATATAAAAAAAAGCAAATGCGTAAAACAACCAAATGGAAATTAAAGAACTACAAAAAAGTATAACCTTAATAAAATACTCACTGGATGGCCTTAATATTAGTTTATACATTACAGAAGAAAAAGTGAACCAGAAGATAACTCAATGAAAGCCATACAATCTGTAAGACACACACACACGCACACGCGCGCGCGCGCACACACACACACACACAGAGAGAGAGAGAGAGAGAAAGAGAGAGAGAGAAAGGCTGAAAAAAATAAATAGAACCTTAAGGATATCAGTGAAAATAGCAAAAGATTTAATATATGGGTAAAGCAAGTCACAGAAGGACGGGAAGGAGATATTGGGACAGAAAAAAATACTCAAAGCAATGATGGCTGAAGACTTTACACGTATGAAGAAAATGATAAACTCACAGTCAAGAAGCTCAATGAATCAGAAATAGTATTTTTAAAAGCAAAACTCTATGATTTACTTGGGTACATTATAGATAAATCGTCCAACATCAAAGATAACAAGGATAATCTTATAAGCCAGAGGAAAACAATATCATTTACATAGAGGGACAGTAATGAAAGTGACCGATGCCTTCTCCTTGGAAACAATGGCATAACATCTTTAAAGTGATAAAGAGAAATAAAAACAGATCAACCTAGGACGACATGTCCAGCCAAAACAAACAAATAAACAAAAAAACCCTTTAAAATAAACGTGATGTAAATACGTATTCTGCCACCTCCAGAGGAAACAAGCAAAAAAACAAAAGAATGTTTCCAAGGCAGGCTTCTGTATTAAAAGATTTTAAGGAAAGTTATTCAGGTAGAAGAAAAATAATACCAGATGGGAACTTTAATCCATACTAAGTAATGAAGAGCCCTGGAAATGGCAAATGGCAATGTCAATATAAAATACTCTTATTTATCTAATTTTTAAATGTATTTAAAGGACAATTTGTGATATTAATTAAAATAATAGGAATATATTGTTGTTTCAACGTATGTAGTAGTAAAATTCATAAAAACAGTAGCACAAATAATGCAGATGATAACTGGAAGTATACTGTTAATGAGTTTTTTGCATTATCCATGAAGTTATATAATATTAATAGATGGTTGAATGTGATAGTTTAAGGTGGGATATTATAAATCCTAGGACAACCAAAAAAATTTAAACTGAGAGGAATGGATAGTAAGAGGAATAGTCCTTTTATGCAAAAGAAGGAAGAAAAAGAGGAATAAAGAATATAAAAGATATGGTGTAAACAGAAAATACATAGCATTATTGTAGACACAAACTGAACTACCTTATGAGTATATTAAATATAAAAGGATTAAGCATTACAAATAAAAGGCAGAGATTGTAAATTGAATAAAAACCACAGCTAAGTGTGTTCTTTTTAGAATAAATACTCTTTAAGTGTAAAGATCTACTTTAAACACCAAAATATGAAAAAGGATATATACCATGAAAACCTGAATCATAAATAAGCTGGAGTGGTGATTAATGGATGCAGGCACTCCTAAAGACTAATAAGTGAATGTGGTCAAATTGAAGAAACAAAAGTATATACGTGCTCAATGTGCAAAAACTTTTTCTGTATACATGCTATGATCCTTTGGAAAATTAAAGTTTTAAAGCAATATCACTGACAATAGTATCAAAACCAAAAAATATTTAGTGATAAATTTCACACACTATGCTCAAGGACTATACACCTTGCACTAGAAAACAATGTTGAGGAAAGAATTAAAAGATCTAAATATACACCATGCTTATAGATTAAAAGACTCCATATCAGTTCTCGTGAAATTGATCTTTGGATGAAACCCACACCCAAGCACTATTGCAACAGTCCTTTTTTGGAAAAAAAAATTGGAGGACTTATATACCTTAATATAAAGACTTATAAAAGTACAGGAATCAAGACATGTGGTATTGGCCTGGCCCCTTGGCTCATGCCTGTTACCCCAACATTTTGGGAGGCTGAGTCTGGAGGATGGCTTGAGCCCAGATGTTCAAGACCAGCCTTAGCAACAGAGTGAGACCCTCTCTCTACAAAAAATAAACAATTAGATCGATGTGATGACTTGCACATGTAGTTTCAGCTACTCGGAATGCTGAGGTGAGAGGATTGCTTGACTCAGGAGGTCTAGCCATGAGTGAGCATTGATCATGCCTCTGCATTCCAGCCTGGATGATGGAATGAGACACTGTCTCAAAAAAAAAAAAAAAAAAGGATATGTGTTATTGGCCAAAAAAGTATGCAAACCTAAAAAGGGATGGCCCACCACCAGACCCACATACATATATGGTAAATGGATTTTCCGTATAGATGGCAAAGCAATTCAATGGAGACAAAAATGTTTTACAAAATCATTCTGAACCATTTGGATATCCATGATACAAAACAAAAGCAGAACTTGACTTTTGCTTTTCATCTCAAATTATTTTGATATCTCTTCCACCTAAGTGTCAGAGCTAAAACTGAACCTGAAATATGAAAGTTCCATGAAAAAATATAAAATCTTCACAACCTTGGAGAAGGCAAACTTTTTTGAGGCAGGAGTCTGTAAACACTCACTATAAAATAAAACAAATTATAATGTGGGCTTTCATGAAAACTCATGCTTACCAAAAGTCATTGTTAAGAAAATAAATAGGCAAGTAACACATGAGAAGAAAAATGCTCTCTGTCCATATATCTGACAAATGGCTTGTGTCCAGAATATAGGAACATTTCTCCCACTCACTAAACAGAGGACAAACAACTAATGGGCAACAGATTGAATAGGCATTTCTTGGGGATAGATAGATGTACACATAGCCAATAAGCACCTGAAAAAATGTCCAGTATCTCAGCCATGAAAAATAAAGAGTTATAATCATCATGAGATGTCACCAAACACCCAATGGACATGGATATTATTAAGAAGACACCACAGTAACTGATGTCACTGATGTAGAGCAAGGATGTGAAACTCTCTCATATGCTGGTGAAAGTGCAAAATGATACAACCACTTTTGAAATCAGTCTGATAGTTTCTCCAAAAGTTCAATAAATGCACTTTTACCCTACAAACCTGCAATCCTGTTTGTGAATATTTACCCCACAGAAATGGAAACATAAGTCCACGAAGACATCTCCAAGAATATTCATAGCAGCTTTATTTTTTATAACCCCAAACTGTAGACAATTTCAATGTCAATCAATAAGAAAATGAATAAATAATTTGTGAACTAGTCATACAATGGCATACTGTTCAGCAATAAAAGGGAGCATGTTTTTGATACTCTCAAATAGTATGGAAGATGCTCAAAAATATTACATTAAAGAAAGATGCCAGATAACAAAAATGAACATTATGTATGAGTCTATTGATGTAAGGTTCCAGAAAGGTAAAACTAATTTCTGGTGAAAGAAACCAATATCATTTGCCTCTGGCCATGGGAAGAGAGTAGCAGAGATTGATTGAGCAGTAAAACGAAGTTTTTTTCTGGGGTGATGTAAATGTCCTGTATTGTGATTGAAGTGTGAGTTACACAAGTGTACATGTTCATCAGAAGTCATCAAACTACATCTAAGATCTGTGCATTTGACTATACATGAAAATATACCTCAGTTGAAAATAGATCAATAACCTCCCTCATATACTATACTTGCTAACACAGCCAGCTGCTTGGAGAACCAGCTTGCTGGAATGGAGAATCTGGGCTTGAGACTGGGTCACATGTATAGAGTCTCTACAGAGACAATGTTGCATTCCCACGGTACATAATACATTTCAAGGTTTCTCAGACAGCCACATGTCATGAATGTGAGGATTCTGAGAGGTTGGAGCAACATTCCTGGGAGGAACGAAGGGGAGCACATTCTCCAAGATCCCCCACCACCGGGGTCCTCACCGGCTGTGCTTTTTTTTTTTTTTTTCTTGACAGAGTCTCGCTCTGTCGCCAGGCAGGAGTGTAATGGCCCAATCTCGGCTGATTGCAGCCTCCAACTCCAGGGTTCAAGAGATTCTCCTGCCTCAGCTTCATGAGTAGCTGGGACTACAGATGTGCGCCACTGCGCCCAGCTAATTTTTGTATTTTTAGTAGAGACGGGGTTTTGCCATGTTGGCCAAGATGGTCTCGCTCTGTTGACCTCGTGATCCACCCGCCTTGGCTTCCCAAAGTGCTGGGATTACAGGCGTGAGCCAAAGCACCCAGCCTGTGCCTCTCACTTACTCAATTGTTTTTCTGAACCCTCCATAGCTGGTGGACCTTTTCAGATCCCATAGTCTAGCCAGCCCTCTCACTTTATGCCTTGGGTCCCACTGTTCCTTCATCTCATCCCCCTTCTGTCAGTCCCGCAGTGGCTGTGGCCAGTAGAGGATGGACTGAGAGTAGGAGAGGAGGTTCTGCCCAGGAACCCATCCTAGAGAAACAGCATCCTGCCTGGGACCTAGTCTTCCAGGTCAGCTTTTATAAGTCTTTTAGACTCAAACTCACTTGACCCACCTGAAGTGGTATTGACAATAATGCTATTTTCATGGTTGTTTTTCACTGTAAATGCAGAGCCTTTTAGCTACACGACTAGTACAGAGAGTAAGGGAGGCTGGCCTGGGAATGATATCATCTTGGATGGCATTTCCTCCTTGGAGAAATATATGTTAGTTCCAACTCACATGTTACTATACAGTCCTGTAGAAAGAGATACAGAGAGTTAGACAGGTATAGACGCATTTGTATATGCATAACAATCTATAAGACACACATCAAAATCCGTATACCGGTTCCTCTAGGGGTATGTGCTTGGCAGAAGGTAGAAGGAGGGTATTCTGGTTCCTTTCTTTTGCACATTTATGTATGATCTCAGTTTTTATATGGAGCATTGATAGGGTTTGGCTATGTCCCCACCCAAAATCTCATCTTGACTTGTAATCTCTATAATCCTGATAATCCCCATGTGTCAAGGGCAGGACCAGGTGGAGGTAACTGGATCATGGGGGCAGTTTCTCCCAGGCTGTTCTCATGACAGTGAGAGAGTCTCCTGAGATCTGATGGTTTTGTAAGTGTCTGGCATTTCCCCTACTTGCACTTACTCTGTCCTGCCGCCTGTGAAGAAGGTGCCTGTTTCTCCCTTGCCTTCTGCCATGACTGTAAATTTCCAGAGGCCTCCCCAGCAATGTGGAACTGTGAGTCAATTAAAACTCTTTTCTTTGTAACTTACCCAGTCTGTCTCGGGTATTTCCTCATAGCAATGTGAGAACGGGCTAATACAAGCATATACTACTTTTGATATTTTAAAATAAAAATTATCATCTATCTTTGAAAGGCATGCACAAATGGGAAGTTGAGGAACATTTGTGTTGTGGCAATTGTATGATACCTTTAATGGGAATATTTCAAAGACACTTGTTAAGACTTTGTTAGAACAAAATGTAGAGGGTGCTGGATGTCCCTGAATATTCTTCCGCCTCCTGTAACTTGTATTGCTTTGGAATTTCCAGTGGCCTGACAATGAACTACTGCAGGAATCCAGATGCCGATACAGGCCCTTGGTGTTTTACCATGGACCCCAGCATCAGGTGGGAGTACTGCAACCTGACGCGATGCTCAGACACAGAAGGGACTGTGGTCGCTCCTCCGACTGTCATCCAGGTTCCAAGCCTAGGGCCTCCTTCTGAACAAGGTAAGAAGTCTGTGTCTTACCTTGTCTAGCACATACCTCTCTATGTGCTTGGACAACGGGATGAAAAGACATGAAAAACCACACTGATGCAGAAGCCTTTAGTGCTACACGGGAGCTCGAGTGTTGGTTGAGGTTCTGCCATGACCAAGGAAGTCTCAGTGCCGTCCCTGGGAAAGCCAGAGCTGTGATTTTTGGCACAACTTGTGGGAGTAGTGACTTTAGGACTGGCGCAAAACCTCCAGGGTGCTCAACTTAACCACTCACCTTATTCTAAAATGGGTTATTTCAGTGTCCCAGTCAAATTCCTATTCTAACATGCTGTCAACTGTGTGATTATTTCCAAGCCAATAAGCATTTCCAGTAATTTCTTAAAATAGTGTTCATTGCAGTCTTCAGCGTTGTGGCTCCTGAGGGATGTGGCCCCTGATTCTGTCGTCCTAGAGAAGCCTGACATGACTGCATTGATTCTGTATCGTCCTGGGTCTATGTGGCTGCCTGGCTGTCTGTAATCATCTGTTTTATTTTTATTTTTTTCTACAGACTGTATGTTTGGGAATGGGAAAGGATACCGGGGCAAGAAGGCAACCACTGTTACTGGGACGCCATGCCAGGAATGGGCTGCCCAGGAGCCCCATAGACACAGCACGTTCATTCCAGGGACAAATAAATGGGCAGGTCTGGAAAAAAATGTAAGCCACTTTGATTTGGACTCTTTTTCCCTTTGCTGACAAATCTTTTCAAACAGAAGAGGGGCAGAGGAAAATACTGGAAAGACTTCAGGAGGCTAAGCGTAATTAGCCTTAGCATGGAAAGTGCAAGCAGCACAGGCCAGCAAAGCCCCACGCGTGTGGGGGTTCTCAGGCCTCTTCTCTTTTGACATTTCTTTACTGTTTCCATTGTTGGGTGCTGTTTCTCGTTTCTAGTGCTTGTCCTCTAAGCCAGGGGTCCCCACTCCAGTACTGGTACTGGTACTGGTACTGGAACTGGTAATTATCTGTGGCCTGTTAGGAACTGGGCTGCACAGCAGGAGGTGAGCTTCGGGGGAGCAAACAAAGCTTCATCTGTATTTTCTGCTGCTTCCCATCACTCTCATAGCTGCCTGAGCTCTGCCAGCTGTCAGATCAGAGGCAGCATTAGATTATCATAGCACAAACCCTATTGTGAACTGCACATGTGAGGAATCTAGATTGCATGCTCCTTATGAGAATCTAATGCCTGATGATCTGTCATGCTTCCATCACCCCCAGATGGGACCACCTACTTGCAGGAAAATTAGCTCAGGGCTCCCACTGATTTTACCTTATGGTGAGATGCACATTTATTTCATTATATATTACAATGTAATAATAATTGAAATAAAGTGCACGATAAATGGAAGGTACTTGAGTCATCCTTTAACCATCGCCCCCTCACCCCAGGTGCACAGAAAAATTGCCTTTTATGAAACTGGTCTCTGGTGCCAAAAAAGTTGGGGAACCACACTGCTCTGGGTTCTAGTAGTCAGAGATGCCCTCTATGAGGCTTAAGTCAGATTTTTCTAGAAAAGATTTGGATGGGCCATCAGGTCACCATGAGACTTCCCTTAGCCTCATGCATTCTCTGTGATGGTTTACTTTGGGGCCTATGAATAGGGAAGACTGAGATATAGGAAAAACCAAAGTGTCTGTGTTCCCCCACTCTCACACCCATGTAACATAACACTTCTCACACCAGATATGGGGGGATTTCTCCTCACACCCCAAGCGAGTCTCCAGCAGATACCAGCTGGGTGTCCTACAATGTAACTCGGTCCTGACACTCTATCTGGAGACAGTGTCAGATCCCACAAGTTAAGGCTCAGTCCTACAAGACTGCCCCACTGCAGATGCCAATCCCAAGTTGCAGGCTGTGACCTGTACTTCTGCCCAGCTGGATAAAGATCTGTTTTTCTATATGACCCTCCATGGGTTTGATTACTTTGCTAGAGTGGCTCACAGAACTCAGGGAAACACGTTACTTTTATTTACCCATTTATTATAAAAGATATTAAAAAGGATCCTGGTGAACAGCCAGGTGGAAGAGATGCACAGGGCAAGGCACGTGGGAAGGGGCTCAGAGCCTCTATGCCCTCTCCAGTGCACCAGTCCCCAGTACCCTAAGTGTTCAGCAACCCAGAAGCTCTCCAAGTGCAGTCTTGTTGGGTTTTTATGGAGGCTTCATTACAGAGGCACAGTTGATTACATCATTGGCCATCGGTGATCGGCTCACCTTCGGCCCCTCTTCCCTCCCTGGAGGTTGGAGGGTGGGGCTGAACAGTTCCAACCCTCAAGTCACATGGTTGGTTCCCTTGGCAACCAGCCCCTGGGGCTATCCAGGAACCCACCAAGAGTTGCTTCATTGCAGCTCCCTTCACCCAGGAAACTCCAAGGGATTTAGGAGCTCTGTGTTAAGAACTGGGGGGCAGAGACCCAATATACATTTCTTATTCTATCACAATATCACAGGAAGCTAAGGATGATACTGCCTTTGTGTGTCTTGGCTGTGGATGGTGCATAATGCATGGAAGTAAGCATTTCTGAATCAACAGCAAACAGGCTTTATCAGGTAGAAGACCCCTCAGCGCCCCAGGGACAAAGCTCATCAATGATGTCCCACTGTCCTCTGAGGCTCTAGCTCTAAGACCTCCAGTGGGTCAAGCTCCTGGAGAAGTGGCACATTCTCCAAAGACCCTTCAGGGTCACCACACCCTGGTTAAGGGTGTGGCCTCATAACTCCTTTTGACTATGACTGATGGCTTACAGCATAGAAAGAAATAACTTTGTCAAAAAATATAATAATGATAGAAAGGAAGAAGGAACGCTCCCTTTTGTCTTCTAAGAATAGATGTGAAATGTGTGTGCCTTAGAATATCTTCTCCCTCTCCTGCTCCACGTGAGCTGGAGCTTACATGCCTGCTTGTTTTCAGTACTGCCGTAACCCTGATGGTGACATCAATGGTCCCTGGTGCTACACAATGAATCCAAGAAAACTTTTTGACTACTGTGATATCCCTCTCTGTGGTAAGTTGCCTTCTGTTTTGGTAAGGAAACTGCTTCCTTAATATGGATTTGGAAAAAAAAAAGCAAAAAAAACAGAAAATGGCTTTTGAGCTGAGTGCTTCTGGGGAGGAGATGGCTGCCCTCTCCACCAGAGCCTGCTTTTCATCATGGCCACCTTGAACCTGCCCTACTATTGGCCCCATTTGTTAGGAAAACACCCGCCCCTCCCACCACACACACATAAATAAAATAAATGTCAAATTCCCAAAGGGCAAACTTAGAGGTGATCTAATCAGCCCGGGATAGTCCCACCGAACCCTTCTTTGTCTAGCGTGGGATGCATGAAAAACAAATTTAGAGTCATTATGATGAAAAACTGTCCTCTTCTGCAGCTGAGAAGAAAAAAAAAATACGAGCAGCAGGAAACAGCTAAGCATGTAATGCACATTGTAAACCTCAGATGGCCATCCTAGGAAATCAATGAAGGGTAGTGCAGCTCTTTAGCCCCAGATGGCCTTTCTCGTAAGATTACTACTCATGAGTCCCATTAGCGACATTGCTTAGAGACTGCTTGTTAGGTTCCTTCCTCATTGCTCTGAGACTCTTATTGGGAGTATGAGGCTTGGATCAGGGGAAGGGGAATTGACATTAGATCTTAAATGATTGGGGTAACAAATCCATGGGGGAAAAAAAGCCACTTGTACTTGTTCCCTATTTTCTTCCTGCTGACCAATCAACTTGTCTGTCCGAGTTACAGAACACCACCCTGGACTTTTCTTTTGTGTAATTTGGTTGCTTGTGGTTGGGTCTGCCATGTGAAGGGACCTTGAGCTGGGGGAAGAAGGTTGGCCTCCAAGTCCACTGAAGACCAGCATCCTGAGATTGCCTGGGGAGGTGGTACAGGGCAGTGATGAAGATCATGGGAGCCACACTGCCCATCGTCACATTTGGGCCACTCCTGGGGAGAGCAAGAGGGAAGAAGGAGAGGTTAGGGTGATAGGAAAGATTCTACTTGGCCAATATTATTATAATGTGGCATTGTGGTCTCTGGATTTAGTGTGAGTTGATAGCTGACTTTTTTCTCGAGTGGGTGCTTTTGTTCTATTTTGTCGGTGCTATTGCAGAAGCATCTTGGTGGTTCCTCTACCTCAAAGTCTCTTGATGGGGTCAGTTCCAGTTCTCCGCTTCTGGCCCCATCTAGTACACGCCACTGCCTCTCACTGCCTGGGCTCTCTATCCTTGACAGGCTGCCTTGAATTTAAGCCCAGTCTGACTTACCTGCCTCAAACACCCACAGTAGTGCCTGGGACTCATGCACCTTTGACTCCCATGGAAGGGAAGTGCAGTAGCTTCCCAGGTGCAATTCTGCTGTCCTCACCCACATTGAGGATGTATGAGAATCAGGTTCTTAGAGATTGGAGAAAGAAGGAAGAATGGGAACAAGATTTCTTCCAATGGACTGTGAGGTTCCCCACCTTACTTTGATGTAAGACAAGTGAGGTTAACCCCAAGCCTGGTGAGGAGGGTTCCCATCAGACACTTGGAAATCCTGAGGACTGTTTCCTGCAGAAGGATGTGGTTGGTGGGATATTCAGGTTTGACTCATGATTGAGAAAGTTAGAGCCTCTGGTTGGAGAAAGAGTTTAATAACTATTTCATTTCCACCAACACATTCAGTACGAATAATAAATAAGTAAAAATAAATAGAAACATTCAGTTTTATTTTGAATAGTAGGAGTAGGGTATAATTTCTGTAGTTACTCTTTTAGTACAATGATGCATGTTTACTGTATGTAAGGCATACTAGCAGAAATTGAGCTCAGCACTAGAAAAGATGATTGCATTCCATGCCATGCTTCTTTTTTACAAAAGACTTCTATAGATAGATTCTCAAAACAACCCACAGCAAATGAAAAGTTATTTGGAAAACTCAGGTTCCAGATTCACTGGAGTGTAGAATCTCTGGTTGGTTGGGGAGGAATTTCCTCTTGCAGTTGTTATTAATAATTATATGAATAATTATTAACTATATTAATATTTATAGTTTTGAAGACCTTGAAGGGCTGGAGACAACAGAGAAGCATTTTTGAACACCCTCTGTAGCCCCTGCACTGTTGTAGGCATTGATGGGTGGTACCAAAGATGGGACACTTTCCCTACCTCCAGAGACCTTGTGGGCTTGCTGCAGAGAGAAGGCAGGGAGGAGGAAAAGAAGAATAGAGGCACATGTGTGTAAATTACCCCCACAGCAGTCAGTTAGTCATGGGAGGCTCCCCAGAAGAACTGTCCTGAAGCTGGCTGAGAGAAGGCAACATTTCAACATAGGACAGTTATCCTTGCTACATAAAATCACATACACACATGCACATATGTCCACACACAGAGACTCACATGCAAAAGAATCCTTTGTGCCTTTCAGTAAACTTTACATGGTTTAGAAAGAACTTATATTTCCTTGAAAGGAGAGTGTCCTTTGTTGTTTACTACCACTTTTTAAACTTAGAAAGAAAAATCTAAAGAGTGTTTATGATTTTACCATTTAATTTCACCTTTGAGATGTGAAAAACTAGTGCTTGGAATTCGTCCTGAATTAAACGACACAATTGCTAACTTGGACTCAAATGCGACTTCTTTTCCCACCTTGTGCCACAGCATCCTCTTCATTTGATTGTGGGAAGCCTCAAGTGGAGCCGAAGAAATGTCCTGGAAGCATTGTAGGGGGGTGTGTGGCCCACCCACATTCCTGGCCCTGGCAAGTCAGTCTCAGAACAAGGTAAGAACAGGCCCAGAAACCATCTATACTGTCCTTCCATGTAAGCCCCACAAAACCCTTCTACATTTACACAGAACCCACACAGCTGATGCATCAATACCTGCCTCTCTGTTTTCTGAAGGAGGAAAAAATATAGAAAAATTAAAAAAAGTTATATTATTATAGGTTCTCTACTTGGAAAATAGCCAAAATACAAATCTTTTTCTTGATCTGGGCAGTTCCATCAAAATCTGTAGGCACAGTGATTTGCACCAAGTTCCAATACTTTTGGAAAATATTGAAGATGCTCTGAGGGTTTCTATGGATATCCATTGTCTCACTGTCAGATGAAAAGAAAGGGAAGTTTTTAGAAATGTGACACTTTGCAGTGAGGGAGGACAAGAGCAAACTTACCTACAGTCTATCACAGGCACAGATTTTTTTTTACACTTTTGTGAATCATTGAATTCAATGCCGAGGCTATTCATCTATTCACAAACACATGAACAAATTATGGGTTGTGATCCCCATAAATGAAGAGTAATCAGTCCGAACCCACAGAACCTGGACATTTTGGGTATCGTTTCAGTGGAACATGCAATTCGTAAGTTCAGTTTGCTTGGGTGTCTCTTAGGAAGAACACATAGGACACAGACCCATCTGCCTGCATGTTTTGCTTCCTCATCTCCTTTCTACACCAGGGCACCTGTGCTCAATTGCTGTTCTCCTCTAAAGAGACTTCCTTCTGTAAGTTTGTGAAATGCCATCGACAAACCTGATCGCATCGCATTTCACTCTGCTGTTGAGTTGATTTTTCTTTACTTTATCGTTTGTAACTTCTTGCTCTACAGAGCTTTCACCTTCCACATATTTCAGATTCATTCTTTCCTAAACTGTGTGGTGGTCTATGTCCTCACTGACTATCAACATACTGCCATCATGCACTTCCTATCTCTATTCCTCTTCGTTGCAATCTGGCTCCAAGTGGCTCACACCATTATTCTGATCTATCAACTGCCTACACAGTCCTAGAAAGTAAGTGAGTCAAGAAACATCCCCCAAAAGTAAACTTTTCAGGTAAGATCAGAAGACCCTCATGAGTCACTGCTGCTCAGGATCGTATCTGGCTCCTTGAAGAGTGACCTTGCATAGATCTTGTCATAAAAAATGAAAGAGACCTTGGGAAGGTCTTGGGCTGGTCACTTTTGTCAGAGTCCAGGGCTGTGGGGTGAAAGCCACAGCTATAGAGCTTCATTCTGGAGTCACTTAGCTTTGCTCTCCTGGGGACAGGCTGTGCCTATTCTTGCCTCAGGCATCAAAAAAAGTGGCACAGATGGGCCCTTCTGAAAAATCTCACTACTGGAGCACAGCTCGAAGTTTCTACTATCCTGACGTTGGGCGGTAGTCCTTTGCTTTGGGAATATGAACATGATCAAAACTGAGTGAACTTGTCTTCCTGGCTTTCTGTACAATGAAGTAGAACAAACCATCCAATTTGACCAAAGCCTTGGCATGTTTTCTTTCTAGGTTTGGAAAGCACTTCTGTGGAGGCACCTTAATATCCCCAGAGTGGGTGCTGACTGCTGCTCACTGCTTGAAGAAGTACGTTTAAGGGAAAACTGACATGGGGTCTTATCTTCAAGACTTTTTTCCTCCCTCTCTTCCTCCATCCCTTCTTTCTTCCCACCCTCCCCTTCCTTCCTCCCCACCTCTCTTCCTTTTCTGGAAGGAACACTAGGAACCAGGGAATGCATGCAGAATCCTGAGGCAGAATTTCCAGGGCAATTGGATGAGAGAGGAGGGAAGTGTTTCTAGAGGGAATCTGCAGAGGGAAGACCCAGTGCAAGTGATTTTTTGGACCTGTATAAACCGCAGGACAGAGCTGTTCACTACCAGAGGCATCAATCTGTATTGCATTGCTCTAGAGCAATATCTGAGGCTGAATAATTTATAAAGAAAAGAGTTTAATTGGCACATGTTTCTGCAGGCTTTACAGGAAGCAGGATGCTGTCATCTCCTCTGCTTCTGTGTGGGCCTAAGGAAGATTACAATCATGGTGGAGGGCAAAGTGGGAGCAGGCATGTCACATGGCCAGAGCAGGAGCAAGAGACAGAGAGAGATGGGGTGGGGGTGCTGCACAATACCAAATGACCAGACTTTGCAAGAACTAAGAGTGAGAGCTCACTGATCACCATGAAGATGTGGCCCAAGCCATTCAAGAGGGATGCACCTCTATGATCCAAACCCCTTTCACAGGCCATAGCTCCATCACTGGGGACTACAGTTGAACACGAGATTTAGGTGGGGACAAATATACAAACTATATCACAGTCTCTGATGAAACAGATTGAGAACAGACCTTAACTGTCAGTTTCCAGCAAATTGTGAATTTTGTTTCTTGCCACTCATAAGTCACTGATTCTGGGTGGCCGAGGGTGTCAGAGGGACAGCGCCAAGTTCATGGCACAGAGGATACCTGAAGGGGCTGGACCATATTTTTCTCTTGACATCCTCATCTTTTCTAGGTCCTCAAGGCCTTCATCCTACAAGGTCATCCTGGGTGCACACCAAGAAGTGAACCTCGAATCTCATGTTCAGGAAATAGAAGTGTCTAGGCTGTTCTTGGAGCCCACACAAGCAGATATTGCCTTGCTAAAGCTAAGCAGGTACTCGCTCACCTGTGGTCTTCACCCCACGCTGGTGAAGATATTTGCTTTATGTCTGGGTTTTATGGGCCATGGCCACTGCATGGCAGTGGGGAGGAACTGTCTATCACATGAAAGGCTCAAGGGCTTTGGGGACAGCATCAATCTTCAACCCCAGCCCTGCCACATGTTAGTTGTGCTCTTTAAAAAGGCAGAAGGATTCGTTTCCTCACGTGGAAAAAGAGATACCCTGTTACCCGTAAAACTTACTTAATGTTCACCAGTTCATCCACATTCATGATCAGGGAAAGGTTGTTATTCCAGGCTAACTATTCTCCTTTCATAATAATATGCTGGAGAGAATCAAATGAGATTGCATTTCAAAGCGCTTGAAAAACCACCATATCGAGCCATGCTTAGTGTGGGCGCCTCTAATCACTGCTATTCAGGAGGCTGACGAGGAAGAATTGCTTGAGCCCAGGACTTCAAGGCTGTAGGCAGCTATGATTGTGCCACTGCACTCCAGGCTGGGTGACAGATCAAGACCCTGTCTCAACAAAAGAAAAGAAAACAAAACAAATGAACAGAAATATTCCACAATGTCAAAAAAAAAAAAAACCCACACAACATACAATTTACAAATGCAAATAATAATATTATTGTTGTCTTCTTTGATTTTCTCTTTCCTGGTGAAATTTTGTTTTATTAAGCCTGACAAAGTGATACCTTTGCTTACATCACTTAAAGTTAGTCTATTTGGACCTAGGTGACAGTACAATCAGCTAAGAAACAGTATTTGTAGGAGAGGCAGGTTTGGGACAGGTGACAAGGCATGTGGGGTGCTCGCTGTGCTGGTGGCTCTGGAAGGCAGGGTGTCAATGCAGACAGGGATGAGCATGGCCTGGTTGGGAAGGCATGGGGCAGGCAGGAGCCTGAGCTGCTCTCCTGGGCCTGGTCACAAGCCCATGGCAGCTTCTCTGGGTCTGTGAACTGAGGGGTGATGTCCTGGAATCCTCTGACACTCTAGGAAGGAGAGAAGGGCCTTTCTGGCTCAGCCTTTATAAACAGTAGCTGATCTCCCTCTTGCTCCCCAGGGTCCTCCCCACCATCCCAGCAAATGTGCAAATACAAGATCTCTGCTCCTCATGGTCCTCAGAGAGCTGGGGTGTTCTGATGGCTTGAACAAGTCACTTAGGAAATGTGGGGTTTTGGAGGCATTCTCTGATAGGCTGATACGTTTTGAGTTTAGAGTTCCCACCGCACATCCCCACACCCCTAGAGTCTAGGGCATTTAGTGCTCCATGAGGGAACCTGTAGAGTGAGGACATCTGCATCACAGGCTGGGCCTTCTAGTGTCCAGAAGCAGAAAGTGTGTCTGCTTCAAAGTTGGTGCTAATGATGATTTTTGGTCAGAATACGGCATTTCTCATTTCCATTCCTTTATCCCCTTGAACTTACTAAAGTAGAATCAGGTCTAAAAACCAGAGTTCTAATCTTTAAGAGTCCCTGGGATTCTAAGGTATATGAATGTCCTTGGAAAACAATACCATTTAGTTCATGCAAGGTGCTTATTTCCCATCCTCTTTCATTTGATGTCTAGCATTTTACTGCATTCTTACCACCACGGTTTAGTAACATTCACGAGGAGGAAGTGGAGGATCCAGATGGAGCAACTTGCTCTGGGCACACAAGGCATTTGCAATTTTATACCCTCTTGATGATGTCTCAGCCAGACATTCTGCCCAGTCATCAATGCCCTCTTCAATTAATATGAAAGGACACACTTGGCATGAGATTCCAATCGTGCACAGAATATACATGAGAAGTGTGCCTTTGTCATCCCTACTTTCAAAGGCTAAGGCCACCCTCAGTTTCTTGCATGCAACTGATGCCTTTCAAATGAAACCTTACATCTGTGTAGTCCATAGGCAACCACAGGCAAATGTGAGGGTGAAACGCTGTGTTCTACATTGTTCTGTGTCAGTGAAGCAAGGCAGTGCCAGCTCAGAGGGCTCTGGGGCTTCAAGGCAGGGATGCCTGGTTGTAGGTACTGCCACTTCCAGCTGGGCAGTGAAACATAACTGCTAATACTTTCCTTACAGGCCTGCCGTCATCACTGACAAAGTAATGCCAGCTTGTCTGCCATCCCCAGACTACATGGTCACCGCCAGGACTGAATGTTACATCACTGGCTGGGGAGAAACCCAAGGTGAGATCAATTCCATTGCCCACGTAACAAATTGTTTTTGACCTTCAGTGCATGTTACAAAATGAGCATTTTGGAGATAGTTGTACAAATTCCTACCCATGAATGTGGTCTACCCACTCCTGACTTTGCCTGGACACCTGTCTATGTCTCCATAATCAGTCTTCAAGGGACTTGGGCAAGGGGAGCGGTGCCATTTCCTTGAGTCTCTCTCTTTTTTGTTTTCAGAATCTTTTAATTTTTTTTGTAATGATTGTATGTTTCCCTTACAACAAAAACAAACACCAGTAGAGGTCTTTGAGTCTCTTAATCATAATTTCAGCATTCATATTGCTTCCCCAGGTAAGTGGGGTTTTGACCCAGCCCTCAAGTTAAGGGTGTTAGATTATTTTTCATGTGAAATTAGACAGACTGCGTTTCTAAACATGGTGCAAAACAGTAACGACAAAAGTTGTAATTAAACTATTCTTCTTCCCAAATACCCACATGTCTAATGTGTGTGTGAGGGTGTTAGGCAGGGGACCTGAAGCTGGGGGAGAGGCAGACAGTTCCCATGGCCCCAAGTCTAGGATGGCATTTGGTATTGGTTGATGGGTGAGAGCAAGAGAGGGAATATTTTTGTGCATGATGTGGTATCAGCACCTGTACTACATTTTATGGATTCCTTCTTCTCTTTGCGGTATGCCCTGACAATAATTATATCCGTCAGCCTTACCCCCTTGGCAGTAGGAAAACTGAAACTGTCTTAAAGTCTCAGCTCTACTTTCTCAGAGGTGCAGGCAAGGGCACTGGGAGTCTGGGGCCCTGGAAAACTGTTCTGACTCTGCCACTTGCCAGATAGACCTGAACTAGACACGTTACCTCTTTGTACCACTTGGCTCTAATCCCTTATCTGTAAAACCAGCATTTTCAAATGGTGCTTTGCACATCAGCCTTTTGCATAAGCTTTGATTTGATAAAATGTTTTTTGTGTTTTTAAAAAGATTAAAAACCACAGGTTTAGATAATTTCAAAGTAGGCTTCCCTTTTTCTGTCATTTTCCTATTATTTTTAAAACCTCACCTCCTTGACTCCTTGTTCCCTTTTTCTGCACTGCTGAGTCTGGGAGCACTGAGGCCAGGTAAAAGGAAACTTGGCAAATGAGGGGCACCTATGGGTGTGGGAGGCTGCTCCTGGTGTTTGCATATTTTAAAATTTAAATGCTACAAACCACTGTGAGTTAGGTATTATTGTTCCTATTTTACCATTGAGGAAGCTGGGGCTCAGAGAAGGTGGAGGGTGGTACAGACAAACCTGAATTGGAACCCTGGCTCCTGCCTATGGGCTGTCAGGACTTAGAAAAGTCGTGAGCTCTCGCTGATTGTTTCCTCAGCTGATGTGGGCTGCAGGGCTGTTATGGGGGAAATAATAAGAAAGTGCATCAAGTGCTGAGCACATCCTAAGCACTCCATCATGGCAGCTCCTACTACTAATAAAGAATAGAATTATATCTAACATGATTCTTTCTTGCAAGTGACAGAAAATCCAACTCAAATTGGATTAAGCAAAACAAGGGAAATTCTTAGTGAGCTGCAAAGTTTTCAGGCTCACATGATGGCCCCAAATCCCAGGTCCTCCCAATCATGGAGTAGGCACTATTTGGGGGCACAAAGGTGACATTCCCATGGCTGCAGATGCTGTGGTGCTGTGGCTGTACCGGGAAAGAATAAGAAAGGCCACTCTCCCAATTATGTGAACAATAGTCTGCCCACTCTGAGAAGTCAAACTTGGGTCACAGTCCTGCCCCTGAACCCATCACTGACTGGCTCTGACCTGCACCAATTGTTCCATGTTGGAGGTGAAGGCAAGACCCCACTAATACCCATAAGGGGCAAAAGTTAGATAGATCCTTCAAGAGGATTATGGGAGGTAGGGCAAAAAGCTGCTGGGCAGCCAGAAAGCAAACAGAGCCTCTATGATACCTCAACTGATGAAAGCATGAAGCTAAAATCATAAGGATCTGGGTGTGAGTTCTGGCTCTCCCATCTTCCATGTGACATTGGGCAGTTATTTAATCTCTTTTAGCCTCCGCTTTCTCATCTTACATATGAGATAATTGTGAGGATTAAGATTACACATAATCATCATCATCACCGTCCACCACTACCACCATCATCCCCATCAACATCATCGCCACCACTATCATCATTCTTACTGGCACTACCATCACCATCACCACCATTCCACCACCATCACCAATATCATCACTGTCAACATCATTACCACCATCACCATCACCACCACCATCATCATTACTACCACTACCACTACTACCACCATCACCATCACCACCATTCCACCACCATCACCAATATCATCACTCTCAACATCATCACCATCACCATCACCACCACCATCATCATCATTACTACCACTACCACTACTACCACCATCACCATCACCACTGTCCCACTACTATCAGCATGACATCACCATCACCACCACCATCATCATTACCACCGCTACTACCAACATCACCATCACCACAATTCTACTGCCATCACCATTAACATTACCACCACCATCATCACTATCACCATCACCACCATCATCACCACTGCCATTATCACTGCCACCATCATCACTATCCTCTATATTTCCTCATCTGTATTATCATTACTACCACCATCACTATCACCACCATCGTCACCATCATAATCACCATCAACACCATCTCCAATACCACCATCACTGTAACCATCATCACCACCACCATGATCACTATCACCATCATCACAATGATCACTGTAACCATCATTACTACCCACCACCATCACCACTACTCCACCACCATCACCATTATCATTACCATCACCATTATCACCACCATCATCATCACCAGCACCACCATCATCACCAGCACCACCATCACCATCACCATCATTAACACCATCACTATCACCATTGGTTTAATCATCACCACCATCATCATAAATAAACATCACATAACCAGGGTGTAGCTGGGTGTTGACCCCAGAGCCCACTCACTGTTTCCTCTCTCCCACCCCCATCCACACATTTCTAACCACCATCCTGCACTGGGCTCCCAGTCTCCTCTGGTCTCACCCACATGTCCACTGAGAAAAGGATTTTCAGAACACCAACTAGACCAGGAGGAGCCACATACATAACTCAGGCCTGCTTATCAACTTTCTACATGTTAATAATGACATCAGATCAATGGGTGTTCTCAGCTTCTCAGAAGGAGGTCAAAATTCTCCCCCTCTCCCCTTCATGTGTCCAGACCTTCCCGGATTTGGATGTACCAAGTGCAGAGTGGTGTTGAGGCCAAGGGGCTCATCCATGTAAGTCTCATCTGCAATCACTGGGCTGATCCCGTGGCCCTGTCTCCAGGGCGCCATCAGAGAGGGCTTCAATCCTCAGGTTACCTGTGGCCCACCCTGCCCTCAGAGGTGCCATCTCTACATTGGCCACGAGATGGCAGCACATACTCATAGACTGCATTAATTTCCCAGCAACTCCTGGTGGGTTTTCCCTCTTATCAGGATGTTTGCCTTGCTCAGAGAGCAAATCTGAGAGCAGTGACACCTAACTTAACTTTCAGCAAAATATTTTGAGAAGGGTGCCCCTTTACACATCTGTGCAGTCCAGGTGATGCATCCCATGCCCAATGCTCGGTAGTCAGGAGGAGCTTCCTCCATGCAGCTCTGCGGAAGAGACTCTTCCACGCTGCTCATGTAAACTCCAGATTCGGTGTCAGTTTTCTGACACCGAAGACAATGATCTAAGTGCAGTCAAGGGCTTTGGGGAAAGCAGGAGAGAGTGCCTCAGTTCTAGCCTGTGCCATGCTTGCAAAGTTTTGCAAAATTCTAATGAGAGCTGGGCTTGCAACATTGGAAACTTGGATTATTTGTGAGAGCACTGAGAAATCCCTGGGCATGTCCATCTGGAAAAACAGCATTTCCTCTGGCACTTTAGCAGAGGTTCTGTTTCAATTTGGCGAAGGAAATTAAGCAGTTTTTCACAAAAGAAGAACTACAACGAGGAGAATTGTCCCTAGTATTTCTTCTCCCTAATTGTCAAGGAAGTGTAAATTAGAAAATGAATCAGGACAATTTCCACCTACTATGTTAGCTAATATTTTAAAAATTGAATATCACAAGGGTGAGGCAAAGTAATTGTTTTCCAGTGACATTTTCCACTGTCACACCCTTTTAGAGAATAATTTGGCAATGTTACTGTGAGATAGAAATATGTCTATATAATTATGGGAACTGAGACTTCAGAAAGTAATAAGGAATAAGAATGAAATTTATGAACAAACATGTGGAAGGTTGGAAGCAAGAGTGGGGCCAACACGCATGGGGAGGAAGCATTTGGGCAGCGACTCCGCAGACCCAGACTCAAGCTGAGCTATACAACCTCCTTACGCCTCAGTTTCCTCAACTGAAGAACAGGAATGACAAGTGCCTGTTTCATAGGACCGTTGTGAGGATTAAGTGAGATATACCACATTATGAGCTTGTGCCTGGAAAGGTTGATTCTTAGTAAATGATGACTATTCTTTTTTATTGCAATAAAATTTATACAACATAGAGTTACTATTTTAACCATTTTTGCAGGTACCACTGAGTGGCATTCAGTACATTCACAATGGTGTGCAACCGTCACCATATTTCCAGGACATTTTTCTCATCCCCAAAGGAAACCTCATGCCCATTAAGCAGTCACTCCTCATTAAAATATTAGTTATGAAGACTGTAGCATTTTTTTAAAAACTCATGATATAACATTGATTGAAAAAATCAGTATAGGAAATTGTGCATTATGATGTAATAGTAAAAGAAGCATATAAAAATCTGAAAAAAGTATATAAAAAGAATAGCAATTGTATTTCTCAGACTCTCTTTACATTGTAAAAATCATTTTGATAGCTTCAAAAGAAAAGCAAAAAGTACACAAACAACAACCAACCCCAAAGCAGCATGACAAAGCCCAGATTGTTGAATCCAGGTCTTGGGAACATAAAATCTTATATGACATTTGCACTTTAATGGGTCAGAGAGTCCAGTGGCATTGGGAGCTGCCTTGTGTTCTGCAGCCTCACGGACAGACAGGAGGTCCAGCTCCACTGCTCTGTTCTTCTGGAATTTCCTCGTGAACAAGCTTTGGCCTCAGTAACCATTTCTTTCATCTTTTTAAACACAGGTACCTTTGGGACTGGCCTTCTCAAGGAAGCCCAGCTCCTTGTTATTGAGAATGAAGTGTGCAATCACTATAAGTATATTTGTGCTGAGCATTTGGCCAGAGGCACTGACAGTTGCCAGGTAAGAAAAGATCAATAGATCAAAGTCTTGTGCTCTCCCGTCTCAGTCTCAGTCCCTTAGACGTCAGTCCCAAAGTGGCAAATTCAGGAAGGTTTTGTCAGTGGAAGACCCCAGTCTAAGTGTTGCTCAGAAACTCCCCAGATCTGTCCCTGAATGCATATTCAGATCATCTAAGGAGACGTCTTGGGGCTTGAGTTCCAGATCCATAGCAAGGGAGCCGTAAGTGCCATAACTACCTCAGGCCACTCACCTTCCTGGTGTGTGCTGGTCACCAGTGACTGAAGTGGTGGCTTTTCCAGTAGAGAGGAAGGTAGAGGGTACAGGACCGAGACAAATTACACACACTTAACAATGATGTCCAGGCTAGCCCAGTCTAAAGGAAACACCAAGTTAGGAAGCAATGCATGCAGGATTCACAAGGGATTATTTTTTTTCCCAGGAAAAAACTAAGTGATGTGGTTTTGTTGAATAGACTTTGCTAAGTACTTAAGCACTGCAGATGCTTGAGTAATATGCTCATAAGTTCCTTTCTGATTTGAATTACTGGGAAAATGTACATATGGATAAGAGAAGGATGGCATCCCATATTAAAAGGTTGGCAGCTTAAAGCTCACATGAATTTTCCCCTACCTCTGTTTAGGGTGACAGTGGAGGGCCTCTGGTTTGCTTCGAGAAGGACAAATACATTTTACAAGGAGTCACTTCTTGGGGTCTTGGCTGTGCACGCCCCAATAAGCCTGGTGTCTATGCTCGTGTTTCAAGGTTTGTTACTTGGATTGAGGGAATGATGAGAAATAATTAATTGGACGGGAGACAGAGTGAAGCATCAACCTACTTAGAAGCTGAAACGTGGGTAAGGATTTAGCATGCTGGAAATAATAGACAGCAATCAAACGAAGACACTGTTCCCAGCTACCAGCTATGCCAAACCTTGGCATTTTTGGTATTTTTGTGTATAAGCTTTTAAGGTCTGACTGACAAATTCTGTATTAAGGTGTCATAGCTATGACATTTGTTAAAAATAAACTCTGCACTTATTTTGATTTGAATTAATTTTGGTTTTGGTCTTCAAAATTTTCATGCTCTTTTCATCCCATCTATTTTTATTTTTATTTTTTAGACTTTACGTCCTGGGGTACATGTGCAGAATGTGCAGGTTTGTTACATAGATGTACACGTGCCATGGTAGTTTGCTGCACCCATCAACCTGTCATCTAATTCGGTATTTCTTTTAGTTCTATCCCTCCCCTAGCCCTCCACCCCTTGACAGGCCCAGGTGTGTGATGTTGCCCTCCCTGTGTCCATGTGTTCTCATTGTTCAACTCACACTTATGAGTGAGAACATGCCGTGTTTGTTTTTCTGTTCTTGTGTTAGTTTGCTGAGAATGATAGTTTCCAGCTTCATCCATGTCCCTGCAAAGGACATGAACTCATCCTTTTTTATGGCTGCATAGAATTCCATGGTGTATATGTGCCACATTTTATCCAATCTAACATTGATGGGCAATTGGGTTGGTTCCAACTCTTTGCTATTGTGAATAGTGCCACAATAAACATACGTGTGCATGTGTTTTCATAGCAGAATGATTTATAATCCTCTGGGTATATACCCAGTAATGGGATTGCAGGGTCAAATGGTGTTTCTGGTGCTAGATCTTTGAGGAATCACCACACTGTCTTCCACAATGGTTGAACTAATTTATGCTCCCACCAACAATATCAAGGCATTCCTATTTCTCCACATCCTCTCCAGCATCTGTTGTTTCCTGACTTTTTAATGATCGCCATTCTAACTGGCATGAGATGGTATCTCATTGTGGTTTTGATTTGCATTTCTCTAATGATCAGTGATGATGAGCTTTTCTCATATGTTTGTTGGCTGCATAAATGCCTTTTTTGGAGAAGCATCTGTTCATATCCTTTGCCCACTTTTTGATGGTGTTGTTTTTTTCTGGTAAATTTGTTTAAGTTCTTTGTAGATTCTGGATATTAGCCTTTTGTCAGATGGATAGATGGCAAAAATTTTATCCTATTATGTAGGTTGCCTGTTCACTCCGATGATAGTTTCTTTTGCTGTGCAGAAGCTCTTTGGTTTAATTAGATCTCATTTGTCTATTTTGGCTTTTGTTACCATTGCTTTTAGTGTTTTAGTCATGAAGTCTTCTCCCATGCTATGTCCTGAATGGTATTGCCTAAGTTTTCTTCCAGGGTTTTTATGGTTTTAGGTTTTGCATTTAAGTCTTTAATCCATCTTGAGTTAATTTTTGTATAAGTAATGCCCTTCTTTGTCTCTTTTGATCTTTGTTGGCTTAAAGTATATTTTATCAGAGACTAGAATTGCAATCCCTGCTTTTTTTTTTCTTTTTGCTTTCCTTTTGCTTGGTAAATATTCTTCCATCCCTTTATTTTGAGCCTATGTATGTCTGCACATGAGATAGGTTTCCTGAATACAGCACACCAATGGGTCTTGACTCTTTATTCAATTTGCCAGTCTGTGTCTTTTAATTGGGGGCATTTAGTCCATTTACATTTAAGGTTAATATTGTTATGTGTGAATTTGATCCTGTCATTATGATGCTAGCGGGTTATTTTGCCCATTAGTTGATGCAGTTTCTTCATAGTGTGGATGGCCTTTACAATTTGGTAGTTTTTGCAGTGGCTGGTACCAATTGTTCCTTTCCATGTTTAGTGCTTCGTTCAGGAGCTCTTGTGAGGCAGGCCTTGTGGTGACAAAATCTTTCAGCATTTGCTTGTCTGTAAAGGATTTTATTTCTCCTTTGCTTATGAAGCTTAGTTTCGCTGGGTATGAAATTCTGGGTTGAAAATTATTTTCTTTTAGAATGTTGAATATTGGCCCCCACTCTCTTCGGGCTTGTTGGGTTTCTGCAGAGAGATCCACTGTTAGTCTGATTGGCTTCCCTTTCCGGGTAACCCAACCTTTCTCTCTGGCTGCCCTTAGAAATTTTTCCTTCATTTCAACCTTGGTGAATCTGACGATTATGTCTTGAGGTGGCTCTTCTCGAGGAGTATCTTTGTGGTGTTCTCTGTATTTCCTGAATTTGAATGTTGGTCTGTCTTGCTAGGTTGGGGAAGCTCTCCTTGATAATATCCTGAAGAGTGTTTTCCAACTTGGTTCTATTCTCCCCATCACTTTCAGGTACATCAATCAAATGTAGATTTGGTCTTTTCACATAGTCCCATATTTCTTGGAGCCTTTGTTTATTCCTTTTCATTCTTTATCCTCTATTCTTGTCTTCTTGCTTTATTTCATTAAGTTGATCTTCAATCTCTGATATCCTTTCTTTTGCTTGATCGATTTGGCTATTGATACTTGTATATGCTTCACAAAGTTCTTATGCTGTGTTTTTCAGTCAGATCAGGTCATTTATGTTCTTCTCTAAACTGGTTATTCTACTTAGCAATTCATGTAACCTTTTTTCAAGGTTCTTAGCTTCTTTGCATTGGGTTAGAACATGCTGCTTTAGCTCGGAGGATTTTGTTATTATACACCTTATATAATAGCCTGATATAACTATAAGATTTTTTTGTAAGCACCATCGTAACCACAAAGCAAAAACCTAAAGTAGATATACAAAAGATAAAAAGGAATCAAAGCATACCACTAGAGAAAATCACTTAATCACAAATAAAGATACGAAGAGTGGAATAAAGGAACGAAGGGTCTACAAAACAACCAGAAAGCAATTAACAAAATGGTGATAGCAGATCTTACCTATAAATAATTATCTTGAATGGAAATGGATTAAATTTTCCAATAAAAAGACATACAGTGGCCAAATAGATTAAAAAATAAGATCCAACTATATGATGCCTATAACACACTCACTTCACCTGTAAGGACTCAAACAGACTGAAAGTAAAGGGATGGAAAAAATATTCTATGCAAATGGAAACAAGAAGATAGAGGGGTAGTTATACAGATTGAGTATCACTAATCCAAACATCTGAAATCTGAAATACTCCAAAATTAAAAATGTTTAAGTGCCAACATGATGTTCAAAGGAAATGTTCTTCGGAGCATTTTGGATTTTTGTGTTTAGGGATGCAAAAACAGTAAATATATAATTTGTATTAGTCCATTCTCACACTGCTATAAAGAATACTACAAAGAGACTGAGTAATTATAAAGGAAAGATGTTTAATTAACTCAGAGTTCCACAGGCTTAACAGGAAGCATGGCTAAGGAGGCCACAGGAAACTTATAATCATGGCGGAAGATGAAGGAGAAGCAGGCACCTTCTTCACAAGGTGGCAGGACGGAGTGTGAGTGTGTGAAGGAGGAACTGTCAAACACTTATAAAACCATCAGATCTTGTGGGAACTCACTCACTCTCACAAGAACAGCATAGGGAAAACCGCCCCCATGATCCAATCCCCTCCCACTGGGCTCCTCCCTTGACACATGGGGATCATGAGGGTTACAATTCACGATGAGATTTGGGTGGGACACAGCCAAACCATATCATAATGCAAACATTGCAAAAACAATTCAAAATTCAAAACATTTCTGGTTTCAGGCATTTTGGATAAGGGAAACTCAACTCAACATGAGGTAAAGCAGACTTTAAGTCAAAAACTGTAAAAAGAGACGAAGAAGAATGTAATAATAAGGAGATCAGTTCATTACAAATATATAGCAATTATAAATATATATTAATATATATACCCAAAATTGTAGTACCTACATATAGTAACTAAAACAAACATTAATAGATCTCACAGGAGAGCTACACTGTAATATAATCATAGTAGCACACTTGAATAGCTCCACTTTCACTAATGGACAGATCATCCAGACAGAGAATCAATATGGAAACACGAGACTTAAACTACACTTTAGCCAAGTAGACCTAACAGAAATATATAGAACATTCCATCCAACAGCAGTAGAATACACATTATTCTCAAGTGCACAGGGAATATTCTCCAGAATAGATCATATGTTAGGTCACAAAACTAGTCAAAAAATGTAAGAAGATTGAAATCATATCAGGTTTTTTTTTTAGATCATAATCGTATGAAACTAGAAATCAATAATGGGGGAATATTGGAAAATCCACAAATAGATAGAAATTAATCAATATGCTCCTGAACAATCAATGAGTCGAAGAAGATATTAAAAGAGGAAATTTTAAAAAATCAAGACATGAGTTCATGTCCTTTGCAGGGACATGAATGAAGCTGGAAACCATCATTCTCAGCAAACTATCATAAGGACAGAAATCCAAACACCGCATGTTCTCACTCATAGGTAGGAATTGAACAATGAGAACACTTGGCCACAGGGCGGGGAACATCACACACCAGGGCTTGTCAGGGGGTGGGAAGCTGGTGAAGGGATAGCATTAGGAGAAATATCTAATGTAAATGACGAGTTGATGGGTGCAGCAAACCAACACGGCACATGTATACCTATGTAACAAACCTGCACGTTGTGCACATGTACCCCAGAACTTAAAGTATAATAATAAAAAAAGAAATATTTGTTTTTGATTTATATGCCAATCAGACAAAATGTGAAAAGCCCTACTGAAATTAAGTATCACCATGAAAGATAAATTCTGGATAATTTTTTCAAGTTTTAACAATGTAGCTTTAATTGGAGAAAGCTATCATTTGGAATGAGTTAATCTATCCTATACTAAAATAAGTCACTTGCTTTAAAACATAATAAATATGATTTTGAATTGAAAACAAAAACAACTCAAGACAAAGGAAAATGGACACACTAACATACCAATAATTTATAGTATGCAGCAAAAGTGGTTTTAAGAGGGAAGCTTTTACCAATAAACACTTCCATTAAAAAAGAAGATCTCAAATAAGCAACCTAAGATTACACCTCAACAAACTAGACAAAGAACTAACTAACCCAAAAGTTAGTAGAAGGAAAGAAATAATAAAGATCACATCAGAAATAGTAAAGACTAAAAAACTGATACCAAAAAGAAATAAAACTACTAGTTGGTTTTCAATAAAATAACAAAATTGACCAACTTTTAGCTAGATTAAGAAAAACAGAGAATACTCAAATAAAACCAGAAAGAGGAGACATTACAATAGATACTACAGAAGTACAAACGATCATAAGAGACTACTATGAATAATTACATGCCAACAAATTGGATAACTTAGAAGAAATGGATGAATTCCTAGAGCAAAAAACCTACAAAGACTGACTCAGAAAGAAATAGAAAATCTGAACAGACCAATAATGTGTACATGATTGTATCAGTAATAACAAGTCTCCCATCAATGAAAAGGCCAGGACCTAATGGCTTCACTGCTGAAGCATACCAAACATTACAAAGACTAATATCAACCCTCCTCAAACTCTTCTTAAAAACTAAAAAGAAGGAATGCTTTCACATTCATTTTATGAGGATAGCATTACACTGATACTAAACACAGAAAAATAATACGCTAATAAAAGAACATTACAGGCAATATCCCTGATAAACATATGTGCAAAAATCCGCAACAAAATACTAGAAAACTGAATCCAGTAGCACTTTAAAAAGATCATTCACCATGATCAAGTGCGATTTGTTTCACGAATGCAAGAATAGTTCAACTTACACAAATAAATAAATGAAAGGATGGATGATAAAAATGTGTATCTATATATATATGTTTTATACACACACACACACACACACACACACACACACACAGAGGAATATTATTCAGCCTTAATGAAGAAGAAAATCCTGCCTTTGCATCAACCTGGAGGACATTATAATAAGTGAAATAAGCCAGACACAGAAAGGCAAATACTGTGTGATCTCGCTTACATATGGAATCTAAGAAAGTCAAATTCCTAGAAATAGAGAGTAGCTTAGTGATTGCCAGAGCCGTGGAAGGGGGAAATGGAGAGATGTTGATCAAAGGATACAACTGTATAGCTTTGCAAGATAAATAGGTTCTGGAGATCTAATGTGCAGAATGGTGACTAGAGTTAATAATACTGTATTGCATACTTGAAATTTGCTAAAAGAGTTGATCTTAAGTGTCCTCACCATATACACAAAAGTATTATGTGAGGTGGTGAATATTTTAATTAGCTTATGATAATAATTTCACAGTGTACATCTATATTAAGGCATTACATTGTACATCTTAAATATATATAATTTTTATTTGTGAAGTGTACCTCAATAAAACTGGAAAAAAT